>NC_000005.10:178770237-178920682 GCF_000001405.40 Homo sapiens
CTGCCACGAGGGTCCGAAAATCCAAGGGCATTCAAAAACCTGGAGAAACCCTCCCAATGACTTCCCGAATGGACCCAGGAGAAGACCCTACCTGGGGAGAAAAAGAGCCCAGAGCCCAGAGCCCAGCTGGGTACCCTGGCAGCAAGCCTATGAAAGCCAGAATAACCATGGAAAGAAACGTGCTTAGTTTTCTCCCTTCCTAATAAATTGCTCCACTACTCTTGTGATCAGATACGGTTTGGTAATAACCATTTCGGAAGCAAAAGACCCAAGTTCTTTTTCAATAAAATAAAGCCAAGGGGACAAATTCAAATTCCAGTTCCCTAAAATGTTCCAGATGAGACAGCACTTATTCACCCAAGAAAAACAGACCCTCATCAGGAAAAGACAAAAAGCATCACTGATTAAAGAAGTACCTTCTTGGAGAGCACCAATGTCCCTGCAGAGAGCCGCCAAGAGTCACCAAGCAAAAAAAAGAGAGAGATGGATGGAAAGCTCCCAAGCTGCAGGGCTCTTCCCACGCAGAACCAGAACGCAAAGGAAATGTGTGGACGCCACAGAAAAGGAACCAACACCGCAGATGTGGACAGGGGCCGGGAGGAGGAGGAACAAGGGTTCCGAGCGGGAATCGGTCCTCCAGGGATGGTCGGGGATCGCACGCAGTGGCCATGCTGCGAGTGCTCTCCCCAGCCCCCACCACTGGACAGACTGTTTTCAAGATGTTGAAAGAACTTTTTTTAAGACAAAGAGAATGATCTGCAGGTTTCAAAGTCAATGGCATCACATATTTCAACATCGTCCAGAAAACAGCCTCTCCTGGTAAATCCTGTCTCTGGTTATTCCTCACAGACTCAGCCCAGCTCCTGGGCAACGTCAAAGTCAGCTTCTCCTGGGAACCCAGTGAGTGTCTGCTCCCATCTTCTCCTTAATGAACAGCCAGTCTGTAGGCTTTAAATACAGCCTCCCACTGTCTGTTTAAATTGTTGTGTGTGTACATTCACATACACACGTGCACACATACAACAGCTTCTGTCAGCTTGCGGGGACATCCATTTTGTAAGCAATGCAAATTAAAGCTGTGATCCAATCTGGGTGAACCTCCTCCTCCCCAACTTAGACTCGAAGCAGAGTGTACTGGGGCGGGGAGCTGGGGGACGACGACGCAACCTTTGAAGACCTGCCTCTAAAAAGAGTCAAGTCTCGTCTGTGTCAGCAGAACTTAAAATTAAAAGGCAAGAGCAACAGCTCCCAGCAGCTCTTTAAAAGGTTAAAATTGGCTGGGTGCAGTGGCTCACGCCTGTAATCAGCACTTTGGGAGGTCGAGGCGGGTGGATCACAAGGTCAGGAGTTCGAGACCAGCCTGGCTAAGATGGTGAAACCCTGTCTCTACTAAAAATACAAAAATTTAGCTGGGCACAGTGGGAGGTACCTATAATCCCAGCTACTTAGGAAGCTGTGGCAGGAGAATCGCTTGAACCTGGGAAGCGGAGGTTGCAGTGAGCCGAGATCACGCCACTCTACTCCAGCCTGGGTGACAAAGCAAGACCCCATCCCAAAAAAAAAAAAAAAAAATTGGCTGGGTGCAGTGGCTTATGCCTGTAATCCCAGCACTTTGGGAGGCCAAGGTGGGCGGATCACTTGAGGTCAGGAGTTTGAAACCAACCTGGCCAACATGGCAAAACCCCGTCTCTACTAAGAATGCAAAAATTAGCCGAGCATGGTGGCGTGTGCCTGTGGTCCCAGCTACTCAGGAGGCTGAGTCAGGAGAATTGCTTAAACCTGGGAGGCGGAGGTTGCAGTGAGCTGAGATTGAGCCATTGCACTCCAGCCTGGGTGACAGACCAAGATTCAGTCTCAAAAAAATAAATAAAATAAAAAATACAATGTTAAAATTAATGTTCTCATTAACAATTTTGAGAACACACTAAAACCAGGGGTTAGCAGGGATAAGCCAGTCGGACCTGCAGGGCTGGGCTCGCTAACCCTCTGAACGTGGGTATTTAGCAGAAATTGCTTTAAATGCAGTCTTAGAAAGAGTAGGAAAAAAGATGGCAGAGAGGATGGCATTGCTAGGCAACGTGGACAAACGATATGTAAAGCACCAGCAAACTACTCAGATGTGAGCGCCCCTCGACGTGTGGGCTCATGGGGTGATGGCACTGGTCTCGTCGCTGGCAGAAGACGGTCATACCGCGATGCCCTTGGTTTCCAGGATGAGGCTGGGCACATGCCGCACAGACAAGCCCACGCGGATGGCGTCACAGATCCTCTTCACCAAGTCAGGCTGGAAGGCGTGCCCAGAGGCTGTCTTCAGGAAGACGATCACCCTCTCTTCCCCGTACTTGTTATACTGGGGGACATACAGGCTGTCCTCCACCTCCTCAAAGGAGTCCACTGTGGAGACAGGAGAGGGCACACATTCACACAGGGGGCCCCTCAGTGCAGGATCGGGCCTGACAGCAACCTGGCAGAGCAGGAGGGGCAGGCTGCGTCCCCCAGGCCTACCTGGGGTGCCTGTGTTCTCCCAGCCCACCCAGGAGGAGGGTCTTGGAGGGACATTTGCCGAGGGAGCTGTTTCACAAGTGGAAGAAAGCCCATTACTGGGGAGGTAGAGAGAGTTTCAGCTTTGGCAGGACAGGTGATGTTGTACCAGGGGGCCAGGTGTGGGCCTTACTCACTTAATAAGAGATTAATTCAAGATAAAAAAGAGCCAGGCAGGGTGGCTCACGCCTGTAATCCCAGCACTCTAAGAGGCTGAGGTGGGAGGATCGCTTAAGTCCAGGAGATTGAGACCAGCCTGAACAACATAAGGAGACTTTGTCTCTACAAAAAAGTAAAAACTAAGCCAGGTATGTTGGCACATGCCTGTAGACACAGCTACTCAGGAAGCTGATGCAGGAGGATGGCTTGAGCAGAGGAGGTCGAGGCTGCAGTGACCTAATTGTGCCACTGCCCCCCAGCCTGGTCAACAGGGTGAGACCCTGTCTCAAAAAAAAAAAAAAAAAAAAAAAAAAAAAAAGGAAGCAGGTGGCTGGGCACAGTGGCTCACACCTATAATCCCAGCACTTTAAGAGGCCAAAGTGGGTTGATTATTTGAGCTCAGGAGTTCCAGACCAGCCTGGTCAACCTGGCAAAACCTCATCTCCGAAAACAAAAATTAGCTGGGCATAGTGATGCACACCTGTAGACCCAGCTACTCAGGAGGCTGAGGTGAGAGGATCACTTAAGCCCAGGAGGTGGAGGTTGCAGTGAGCTGAGATCGCACCACTGCACTCCAGCCTGGGTAAGAGAGTAAGACCCTGTCTCAAAAAACAAAAGTAAAAATTAAAAAAAAAGCAGGTGCCTGTGGTGGGTACTCCACTGGAGGGAGGAACAAAGGCTGGAATCAGACCATCAGGATTTCTCCACCCTGGCTACACAAATAACCTTGACATAAGTTTAGGACTCTGACCTAAGCACTAGCATGTGAGGCCATCTGACCGACTTTGTGGCCTGGGCTGGGCCTGGGTCCCTGGGCCGCGCAGTCTGAAGGCCCACAGGGGACTCCACCGTGCAGCTGTGAGACCCACAGGCCTACACTGTCTGTGCTTGGTGTCCTGCATAGCACTGTGTGACCTTCAGCAATCCTGCACCCTCTCTGTGCTTCTGGTTTCTTAACCCATAAGAGCAGAAACAAGTTGGCACAGTGGCTCATGCCTATAATCCCAGCACTTTGGGAGGCCGAGGCAGGTGGATCACTTGAGGTGAGGAGTTCAAGACCAGCCTGGTCAACATGGTGAAACCCTGTCTGTACTAAAAATACAAAAATTAGCTGGGCATGGTGGTGCATGTCTCTAATTCCAGCTACTGAAGAGGCTGAGGCATGAGAATTGCTTGAACCTGGGAGGCAGAGGTTGCAGTGAGCCAAGATTACACCACTGCAGTCTAGCCTGGGTGACAGAGAGAGACTGTGTCAAAAAAACAAAACAAAAAAAAGAGTAGAAGCTAGTAACCAACCCAACAGAGCTCACCAGGGGGATGAAATATAATGGGGATGGGCCAAGGGACCTTAAAGACCCCATGTGAGGTTTTATGAGGACGGCAGTGTGGGCCAGGTATCATCTGAAAAGGAGGTCAGGCTCTCAAACGTCCACTGTCACACAAGAGACCAAGGGGCCAGAGTCGTGCCAAAGGTAGGGCCTGTGGAAATTCGCCCTGGGGCTCCCACCAGGACCCTCCTCCTTCCTGGATACTCAAGAACGCTCAGGGAGAAGAACATACCTATGTTACAGGTTTCCAGGCTGCCGAACCGCGGGGTTGAGCGTGCCGTCACTGGAAAGCGAGAAAAAGTCAGGGCTACACCGCAGCTCTGAAGTGAGGCAACTCCCAGGGGTCCCAGGGGAGGTCACCCCCCTTCCACATGGCCTCCCCCAGGACCAGTCACGGATGCTCCCCTCCCCAGCTCCTTGCCCCGCCACATGGCTCTTTCTCCCTCTCAGGTTAAAGCGCGACATCCAGGGAGGCCCCTCTGTGCAGGAACATCTGTCACCTCACTCCCTTCCCACCTGCACACGCGTCCCCTGTCTTGGGTGTGGACACTGCTGTGTCTTTGCTGTGGGACCCCTGCCCTGACACCCCCTACCCGAGAACCCCATCACAGGGCAGGGAAACTTGGATCACGCCCAGACCCAGCCCTCGGGAAGGAAGCTGGCACAAGGATGCCCCACCCCAGAAACGACACAGAAAGGGTCCAAGATGGGGGACAGTTAGCCATGTCGCAGACTGAGCAGACAATGCTTTCTCAAAGGGGATCTTCAGGCTCGGGGCAGCATGTGCACAGGCACAGGGACGCATGGCACACCAGCCGGGGGGCGGTGGGGGGTCCCAGACATCAGCAGAGGCGTGGGTGGTGTGGACACCCTGGTGCTGGAGTGGAGTGGGGTGCCCAGGAAGGGGATCACTGACTCTCACAGAAAGTGCCTCCTCCCCCACCCCCAGGCCTCCGGAAGGTGGGGCTCCAGGGAAGAGAAGCCGACTCTGCAGCCCTTACCTCCAGCCGAGCATGATGACGCCCCCGGTCTTCGGGTTGATGCTGCAGCAGTCGCCATGAGCCCTGATACCTGCAAGGGCGGCAGAGGTGCCCGGTCACCCCGAGGAGAAGGGGCCGTGATGGGCTGCCTGGACAGACACTAGGTGCGGATCCGCAGACATCATTGGGGCCCAGAGGCAGGCCTGGCATGGGGCTGGGGCAGGAGGGAGCTAGACTGTTCCTGCCCCAAGGAACATGCCCTCTAGTGAGGGCTGCTGCCAGGGCAGCTCTGACACAGCCGGCGAGGAGACACAGCTCCTGAGGCACCAGCAAGGACCCAGGAATTCACAGAGGGCGGGACCAAGTGCGGCCAGGGCACTGGGGGTCAACAGGAGCATCTGGAGACACCTCTGAGTGGAGCGCAGGAAAGAACGAGCCACGTCTTGGGAAGCAAGAGTGGCCAGGGGCAGCTGAGGGCACAAGGTGTGCAGAGGTTGGGGTCAGATATTAGAATGGAATACACAAGCTCATGGCCAGGAAGGAGGCTACTGCACCAGTCCCAGCCATGCAGGCTTGAACCAAAGCATTAGCCACATGGACAGAGAACCGATTAGCAGGTAAAACCCAGGAAACGAGGTGGGTGGGGGAAGAGGAAAGAGCCAGAGGTGACGGCAACACGGTATCAGCAGGCTACATGAGTGGCCACGTGTGCAGCTGTTCAGAGAAAGCCTGTGCGCTGGGGTGGTGCTGTGAAGCTGATCGACCAAAGGGATCAAAACCCAGCGTTGGACGCAGCATCTAAGGAGAGAGGTTCCTTGGCCACATCCTCCACCCAGGCGCCAAACAGTGAAGAGAAGCCACGCATCTGAGAGTCACCAAAGGAGCAGTTAACTCACGCTCAGCCCTTGATCATCCACACTGAGGGGAACTGGCTGGCCATCATCAAAAGCGCATCTCTGCCGCTTTGCAACACGAGAAGTCATCTGCCTTAGCAGCAGGCTCTCCTCCTGAAGTAAGGCCCCAAAGATTTCCTGTGATCCAGGAAAGGAAAACAGTAAATAAGCCAGCTTCCGTGTCCTCACTGACGGGGGGCAGCCTCAGAAAGCATCTCTTTTCTCCAAATCTCCAGACACTTCTCCACTCTGAGCCAAGTGCTAACCCAAACAGTTCATGACTCAACAGCTACGTAGTCTATCCACCCATTCATGTGACATTGTGAAGGCGACACTGCCACAAGCCACAACCAAGCCTTCTACAGGGATGAAGGCCAAGGGGACTCTATGCAGGGAGCGCATGGTCCCTGGGAGGCAGCTGAAGAGAATGAAATGAGCCCTAAGCGACTTAATCTGATGCGAAAAAGAGAATTGCAGGCCTTCAGGTCTTCCTCCCGCCTCCCCAGGCTGGAGAGTGAAACCAATTCTTTTGTCATTGGACCTTTTTTTTTTTTTTCAAATGGAGTTTTGCTCTTGTTGTCCAGGCTGGAGTGCAATGGCGCGATCTCGGCTCACTGCAATCTCCACCTCCAGGGTTCAAGCGATTCTCCTGCCTCAGCCTCCCAAATATCTGGAATTACAGGCACGTGCCACCACATCCAGCTTATTTTTATATTTTCAGTAGAGATGGGGTTTCACCATGTTGGTCAGGCTGGTTTCGAACTCCTGACCTCAGGTGATCCACCTGCCTCGGCCTCCCAAAGTGCTGGGATTACAGGCCTGAGTGACCATGCCTGGCGTCTCATTGGACATTTTTTTTTTTTTTTGAGACGGAGTCTTGCTCTGTTGCCCAGGCTGGAGTGCAGTGGCACGATCTCGGCTCACTGCTGCAAGCTCCGCCTCCCGGGTTCACGCCATTCTCCTGCCTCAGCCTCCCGAGTAGCTGGGACTACAGGTGCCCACCACCACGCCCGGCTAATTTTTTGTATTTTTTAGTAGAGATGGGGTTTCACCGTGTTAGCCAGGATGGTCTCGATCGCCTGACCTCGTGATCCACCCGTCTCGGCCTCCCAAAGTGCTGGGATTACAGGCGTGAGCCACGGCGCCCAACCTCTCATTGGACTTTTAAAGATTCACACACAAAAATAAGGAAAAAAAAAATTCACTCCTAGGCTTGCGATTGATGTGTCCGGTTTCTGCAGGAGCACATGTGTATGTCTACTCAACAAACTGAGTTTATGAATGGCAGCCCCAGGAGATCAGAGCTGCAAGCCTATGCCGCTCTCCTGGGAATCCTGCCTCATTCTGGAACTTTCGTGCCAGCAACAACATACAGTCTCGTTTGCCTGGGTCAGATCTCCCTTGAATTGGATGGGAAATTTCTGGGTTTTCTGGGCCATTTGTAGTACTGTGCCCTAATTAACTGAGAGCCCGGAAATGCAGAGAAAAAGGAAGACGTAAATCCACTCTGAAGAAATTTTCTTTTGTGGAAACTTCCCCCTGACACACTTTGATCCTTTGCAAAGCCAAGCTGAGAGGAGGAATCCACAAGTAGCAGCTGGCTGCAGGGTACCACAGAGGAAGCGGCGTGATGGCGAAACAAAGCCACAGAAGCAGCGTCTTCCTTTCTAGAGCAGACTGAACAGAGTCAGATCATTCTCCTTCTTCCAGGCACTGACTTCAGCCCTGAGTCTCCTGAGAGCTGAGGCCAAAGTGGAGCCACGGTGGGAACAGGGGGAACAGGTGACTGCCGGTAACAGACCAGGCCTGTTTGGAATGTGTCATCTACACTGACTTAAATCTTAAGCTTGCTTTACTTTCTTTTAAAATATTAGGTTTTTAAAAATAATAAAAAGCGGCCGGGCGCGGTGGCTCATGCCTGTAATCCCAGCACTTTGGGAGGCCGAGGTAGGCGGATCACGAGGTCAGGAGTTCAAGACCAGCCTCGCGAACACAGTGAAACCCCGTCTCTACTAAAAATACAAAAACTAGACTGGTGTGGTGGCGCGTGCCTGTAATCCCAGCTACTCATGAGGCTGAGGCACGAGAAGCCGAGATGGTGCCAGTGCACCCCAGCCTGGGCGACAGAGCGAGACTCCGCCTCAAAAAATAAAAATAAAAAGCCATAAGGAAAACCAAAATGGGCTCATCATCTCACCACTCATTTAAGCCCTTATTCACACTCGTTATTCATTTATTCACACAATCACACATATGTACTTCCTTTTTAAAATGTACAGAAGGCCCAGTGCGGTGGCTCACACTAGTAATCCCAGGATTTGAGGAGGCTGAGGCAGGAGGACTGCTGGAGCTCGAGTTTGAGACCAGCCTGGGCAACACAGAGACCTCATCTCTACAAAAAATATGAAAATTAACCAGGCATGGTAGCACACACTTGTAGTCCCAGCTACTTGGGAGGCTGAGGCGGGAGGATCCTTTGAGCCCTGGAGATCAAGGCTGCAGTGAGCTGAGATCACATCACTGCACTCCAGCCTGGGGGACAGATGGAGACCCTCTAAAAAAAGATTAATTAAAAAATAAAATTTACACAAAAGCAATGCTAGGTCCTCTGTTCTTGAATTCTCATTTTCACTTACTAACTTCCTGAATCTTTCCATACCAGCATGTTGGGATTCGATCAGGCTGGTGGGAAAAATATTAGTTACAACAGGCACAAAACCCTTCTGGAAGGCCTGAGGGTTTTCACATGACTTCAGTAATAGACGGGGCTAAAGGCGGCCTGGTCCCATTACCTATTAGTTAAATAGATTAGACTAGTAAACAATGGGATGTGGGGAAGTTATCTAGTTAGCTTGTTTACTCACGTGGTCTTAAGACTGACCTTCAGACATCTGAGGGCAGGATGGCTCTCTCTGGGGGAGGTCAACCAGGGATATTACCCACTAATGGTGTTTGCTTGGAGCCTTGGAACCTCGCTTTTAATCATTATCTACAAGTGTGTTGACTCAGAACTTCTGTTGTTAATTATATACTAAGTAAATGCCTGGAGCGCGAGCTGCTCAGGGCCGTGGTCGCCATTCTTTACAGGACCCTCCTTGCAGTCTGTGAGTGGCCTCAGACCCTCCGCTGGACGGGCAAAGCAGAATATCTGTGTGTCAGTGTATGTTTATTCATCCGTCGTTTGGGTCAGGGTCTGCGGGCAGACCCCCGCAGCTAATGCCCTCTTGGGAGGGGCAATACCTCATCAGCATACGGCCTGTTCACACTTTCACCTGGCATCATTTTTTAAGGTAATGATGTCCGTAAACCCACTCCCAGTTGTGGAAAGGAAGACTCGCTCTTGTAGCTTGGTTTTGCCATCATGCCATTTCCTACACAGCCCAAGAATCTCTCAGCGCTGGTGCTTGAGAAATGGTCTAAGTGCAGGCTGTGTTCACCCTGTCCATGATAAACAGCTTCAAATCTCATTTCTGATCTGCCTTTGTCTTTCCATATTTATTCATGTCTCTCATCTACACCCAGGAAGTATCGAAGGAAGCTGCCTTTAAAACTGACTTCAAGATAGGATTACTCAAAGAGAAGCAAAACCCTACCCTAAAGGTAAGAGGACTACAAAAACAAAGCAATGATTTCAGCTCTGAGTTTCCTGACAGCCAAGGCAAAAATGGAAATATATCATGTCACAAAGTATTTGTTTTCTCCAAGAAGGAATATCAGTTTCAAAAAGAGGTTATTCTGAAATTAATCCTGAGACACATCACATGAACCCTTGCACATGTGACAAAAAAAGTGACAGAGTTTTCAAAGAGCAATGTTACAGAAGATGAAGGGCTGTCATTTCTTGGATGGATCCTCAAGCTGAGACTCTAATCCTTTTGGCCTCTCCTCCCAAGGCAGTAGCCCCTGCCCTCCTCCTCAGGGTCATCTGAAGAGTGTTTCTCCACATCCACTCTTGCTTTTCTGCATTCGTCTGTCTGCACAGCTGCTCACAGCAGGAGCCGAGGTGGGGCTTAGGTGCAGCAGGGATGCAGTGGAGGCTGAGCCACCCCTGGGGGGATGCCCCACGCTGCTGCAGGAAGGCGCTATTTCAAGCATGATGGCTTTTACGGTGACATGCAAATATGCAGGGCAGGAAAGATCCCTGGCAAATCCTACCACTTGCTGCTTTCTGATTCTCCATACGTCTATGCTATGTGCCCCGCGTCCTTCTTTGCTCACTCACATTACCTTTTGAGAGACTGCAGCAAGCAAGTACTTAGTATAAATAACTCTGAAACAGAAGGTTTGCTAAACGATGAATTATATGGCAGCAATAACTTGAGACTGCTTATGAAATAAGATTAGAGGGAGGCAGGAATCAGAGCTTTAAATAAAAGACTTTCCTGCTTTGGGGCAAGGCACCACTCAAACCACACTCAGGGGTGTCAGTCTATGTGAGAGGGATGTGTCGGGTTGTAAATCCTTCCACCGCAAAAGCACTCTTCCTTAGCATCTCCACGAGGACTGGATGATGGTGAGACACACAGAGGAAGAGACCCGAGCCAGACACCACTTCCACATGCCGCTCCTCGTGAACAGGCAGGCATCACCCTGGCATCACCCTGTTTCAGCGAGTGGGCCCTGCACCCTCCACCTCCCACGTGCAAACCAGAGGCACATGCCAGCGCCCAGCAGCAGGGGCCGGGGCCCTGGGCAGAGGTGGCTGAGATTCAGCTAAACCCAGATTATAGTTACACATGATAGCTTCAAGCTGAAGACAAGATATTCATCAAAAATTGATTATCGCCCCACTGGAGGAATGAGCTATATGCAGCTTCTCCAAGCCCTGGTGGGGGAAGGAAGAGGGGAGGGGCAGGATGGGAGGGGAAGGACGAGGACACACGACTAGGCACGGAAGGCCCAGACAACGCAGAGGCTCGGCAGCTCTGTCTGCATCTCTCCAGCCGACCTGGGAATTTGGAGAAATACGCCTTCCTGTACTTGTTGCCGTTCTCATTGTTCCAGAAGTGTGTGGGCTGGCAAGGGATCGGCTTAGTACACACCAGCTTGCTGCTGTCTCCCCCAGACCGCCTTTCCTGGTATGGGAGAATTAAAAATAAGCCCAACACACACCACAGCCACACACTGGCTCTCTCTTCTCTCTTAAGCTATTACTTATTACGCAATATTCCAGACATACACAAAGGTACAGAGATGGTCCACGCCCACACACCTCTCACGGGAGCCTAATAATGTGTTCCTCCCATGAAGTCCCCTCCCTGTGTGCTCCCCAAAATCGCTGTCTCGGACATAGTGATTTGTTATTCCCATGTGTGTTAACATTTTTGCTCCATCCATACGCATCCCTGAATACTATGTGTCATCACTTTGCATACCTTTGAACACACACACGCTGTCCTTCTATGTGTCCCGCGTCTTCCTGTGCTCACTCAACATGACATCTGGGTGGCTCGTTCGGGCTACTACCTGTCGCTCTGGTTCATTCCTATTTACCGCTTGGTCATTTGCCATGTGTGATCACAGAACTTCTGCCCAAGGATGGACATTTCTATTGTTCCCAATTTTGTTTTCATTACAAATCATGGGGCTACAAACATTCTTGCATGGATCACAAGTCTGTCTTCCGTAAGCGGAATTCCTAGATCACAGGGCACATATGCATCTTCAGCTTCACTGACTGCTCCCGCATTGCTCTGCAGAACAGGTGCACTGAGCCCTGCTCACCCTTCCTAGCACAGCTGGGTTTCTAGCTGCCAGGCACAGCACAGCAGGAGACTATCCCTTCCATGACCGGGCTCTCAGATGCTCAGAGCCGGCCGCTGCCTGTGTATCCAGCACCAGGGTTCAGATTCAGGGCAACGATCACCCACTTGCCCGACGTTCCTGAGCACACAGCTCTCTGTCCTCCAGCTCGACCCTGACCTCTCAGGAGCTGGGGACCAGGAGCCGGTGGGTGTTAAACCAAGCTGGGGGGGAAGGACATCACGCTGCAAGTGACAGGGGCCTCCCTCCAAGGGCTGTTTTGGAGAACTATCACCAAGCAAAGTTACACATCCGAGCGCTCCCAAGCTCCCAACTCACGCCTAATCACAGGAAGAAACAGTTGGCGGAGCCATCACCTTCCTCATTCCACGCATCCACGGCCATGCCCAGGTTCCAGGCCTGAATCTCCCCTTTATACACAGGAAGAGAAATATTCTGGCCCATGAAGCAGGAGGTGATGTCGGTGCCTCCCGCAAGCAATGACAAAAGGAGAGTCGAAATTCAGAAGCCCAAGACAAATTGCTTTTAAGTCAGTAAGCAACAAAAGAGAAAGTGCAAAGACGACAAACATCTACTCTCCCAGACAAACACTGCAACATCCCAGACAGGTGGGGCTTCTTTTCAGGCAGCAGTGGGAGAGGTGATATGGAAATTAGAATGAACCCCCCTCATCTGGTGATTGACGTTTTGGCCGAGCCTTGCTGTTGGAGGATGCACTAAGTAAATGACTTCTTGTGGTCACACTGAAATTCAAGATTCAGGATCGCAGAAAATGGAAGCTTTGCCTGTGGTAACCACCCAGCAGACGCTGCCTATGCGGACTCATCACGTGGGAAGGCTTGCACGCCATGGTTTACGTGGACTTAACGGTTGGAAAAACAGAAACGTGGCCGGGCACGGTTGCTCATGCCTGTAATCCTAGCACTTTGGGAGGCCGAGATGGGTGGATTACCTGACCTCAGGAGTTCAAGACCAGCTTGGGCAACATGGTGAAACCCCATCTCTAGTAAAAATACAAAAAATTAGCCAGGCATGGTGGTGTGTGCCTGTAATCCCAGCTACGCAGGAGGCTGAGGCATGAGAATCAGTTGAACCCAGGAGGCAAAGGTTGCAGTGAGCTGAGATTGTGCCACTGCACTCCAGCTTGGGTGACAGGGAGAGATTCTGTCTCAAAAGCAAAAAAACCAGAAACGTTCCCAGCTGCAAAGACCGTGGAGTGTGATGTCTCACACAAGAGACTATGCTACATGGAAAAACACTCCTGTTTCTGGAATGAGCTGGAAATGGAGTCAGCCTCCATGGGCCATCATGCAGGGGAGCAGCGTGAACCCTCCAACTTAGGCCCGCTGCTGACAACAGCCAACAGCCATCCCCTGACCCAAAAGCCTGTGTGGGAAGGGAAACAGCAGCAGGGTGAATCTGCAGGAGGGCAAAGACCCTCACACTATACACACACATGCACACACACACATGCATAAACACACCATACATACACCACACACCACACACACACACAGGTGTACACACACATGCATACACCACACATACAGCCACACACGAGCACAGCAAGGGCAGGACACGCTGAGGAACATACAGCACACACGCACACACACACCACACATACATGCACACACAACACACACACATGCACACACCACACATGCATGCATTCACACACACACGAGCAGAGCAAGGGCAGAACACGCTGAGGACGGGGTCACTCCACTCCCACAGGGAAGAAAGCCAAGAGTGTGAGGGGGGTGGCAAGGAGCCCCCTCCCTAGCCCCGTGCCTGGTGTCTGAACTTTTTCTTTGAAACAGGGTCTCACTCTGTTGCTCAAGCAGGAGCTCAGTGGTGTGATCTTAGCTCACTGCAGCCTTGACCTCTTGGGCTCAAGTGATCCTCCCACCTCAGCCTCCCAAGCAGTTGAGACTACAGGCACACACCATGCCCAGCTAATTTTTTTTTTTTGAGACAGAGTCTCACTCTGTCTCCCAGGCTGGAGTGCAGTGGCACAATCTCGGCTCACTGCAACCTCCACCTCCCCAGTTCAAGTGATTCCTGCCTCAGCCTCCCGAGTAGCTGGGATTACAGGCATATGTCACCATGCCTGGCTAATTTTTGGGGTTTTTTTGGTAGAAATGAGGTTTCACCATGTTGACCTAGCTGGTCTCGAACTCCTGACCTCAAGTGATCTGCCCGCTTCAGCCTCCCATAGTGCTGGGATTAAGGCGTGACCACACCGCCTAGCCACGGCTAATTTTTTTTTTTTAAATTTTTTGTAGAAACAGGGTCCCACTGTTGCTCAAGCTAGTCTTGAACTCCTGGGCTCAAGCAATCCTTCCGGCTCGGCATCCCGAAGTGCTGGGATTACAGTTGTGAGCTACTGTGCCCGGCCCAGGCTACTCTTTATACTCAACTCACATACGTGAAAAAAAAATTTCATAAAGCAAATGTTTTCCCTAATCAGGCTCCGCGTGTATGAACTGGGAGTGTGGGGGTGTTCAAGATCCACATGAAATGACTCGATGGCTCCAAAAACCAGAAGGGTTGATTTTGGCTTCAACTCTAAGATGATTTTATTTCTTCCTTCAGGCAAAGAATAAAAGGTGATGTCTTCTCTGCCATTTCATGTCACTGACTGACGTGTCCCATGAAAATGAGTGAGTCACATTCATTTCTGCCACCATTAAGGTCTGAGCAGGGCTCCTGACCTCCTTCCTGCTGGTAAGAATGGCTCAGACCCCCCACCTCAGGCTGAGGAACCAACAGTGGGGAGGAAAGCTGGAGGGTTGGCCTCAGGCTTTGGGCAAACATATCCCTTAAAGAGGTGCTCTGAGAGTATGTTTTCAAATCACAAGGAGAAAAATCACAACTACAGATGTGTAAAAAGAAAATAAAAGTGAGCTAGGCCAGGCACGGTGGTTCACGCCTGTAATCCCAGCACTTTGGGAGGCCGAGGCGGGAGAATCACTTGCGCTCAGGAGTTCAAGAACACCCTAGGCAACATGGTGAAACCCCGTTTTCACAAAAAATAAAAAAACATAGCTGAGTGTGGTGGCATGCACCTGTGGTCCTAGCTACACAGGAGGCTGAAGTGGGAGGATCACTTGAGCCCAGGAGGCTGAGGCTGCAGTGAGCCATGATCGTGTCACTGTGCACTTCAGCAGGGGCAACAGAGCAAATCCCTGTCTAAAAAACAAACAAAAAACAAACAGTGACCCAAAGATTTCTATGGGCAGCAATGGAATCAACTCTAAGTCCCATTAAGGAGAAGTGAGGTATGTACCCTAAACTACAGAAAATGGGGGTGCTCTCACCCCATTTACACACACTCACAAACACACACTCAGGCACACACACTCACCTATGCACAGAACATCTCTGAAGGGAACGACGTCGGCTTCCTTGGGGAAGGGGGGCGGCAGCAATGAGGACACCTTTGTGGACTCTGAATTTTTTTCCACATTCATGAACCATTTTCCAAGGCACAACTTTATGTTAAGAAAAAAGTTATGACAAAAAAATGCACTTGGGGACAGGCACAGTGGCTCACGCCTGTAATCCCAGCACTTTGGGAGGCCAAGGTGGGTGGATCGCCTGAGGTCAGGAGTTTGAGACCAGCCTGGCCAATATGTGAAACCCTATCTCTACTAACAATACAGAAAAATTAGTTGGGCGTGGTGGCACATGCCCGTAATCCCAGCTACTTGGGAGGCTGAGGCAAGAGAACTGCTTGAACCCAGGAGGCAGAGGTTGCGGTGAGCTGAGATTGCACCCACTGCACTCCAGCCTGGGCTGGAGTGAGACTCCCTCTCAAAAAATCAAACAAACAAAAAAAATCAGTTGGAATCCACATATAATACACCCATGTATATACATATATGAGTATGCATGTAAACATCCATATATTCCCGTTTTCAACCTACAAACATGACCGCACCTTATAATGCTGCAATCTGATTATTTCACTCATGATGACCATGTTTCAACGTCCATCAGTATATTTCTATCTAAACAAATACTTTCATCCTTGCACTTCTAATGGTTGCATAAATTAAGAATGTACCCTAAATTATTCAATGAATTTCCTTCTGCTGGGCATACAGGTAGTGTCTATTTTTCCTCATATAAACAATGTTGCAATATTTGTCCTTCCATACAGTGGCTTCCATTTGCAGATTTTAGTTTTGTGAATTTGCCTACTCACTAAAATGCATGTGTAACCTCCAGAACTATACTCTGGAGCTTTTGCGGTCACTCTCAGACACTGCAGAGCAGTCAAAACCCTGAGTCACCCATGTCGGTTCCCACTGAGGTCACACAAGGAGACGTGGCCTCCCTAGCTCCCTCTCACACACAGGAGACCGGGGCAGGGTGAGGCAGGGTGCCTCGTTCCCAGGCTTTGCATCCCAGCTCTGGCACCTGACAGTGGCCTTGGGCAAGTCACTGAACGCCTCTGAACTGCATTTTCTCTTTCACAAGATAAAAAAATAGAAGCAAGATGTGTTGTTTTGGATTTTAAGACTATAATCGATGTGAGAGGTGTGTGTATAAATATATTTCCCCCGGGGCAAGGGTTCCATATGTGCTAACTCGGTGTTCACAGTGACTTTGTGGAGCATTGCTGCCTCAGATAACGAGAAGGGACTGTGCATATTGGCTGCCCCGTAGACCGTGTCCTTGGGATGAAACCAAGCACTGGGCAGGGGGTGTGCATACTTATGGGGCCGGTCTGCCTTCCAGAGGCGGGGATGGCTGGGAGGTCTGTCCCCTGCAGAGCCATACGTGAGATGAAGGCCAGGAGGACACTGCTCTTGACACACCTGTAGACACACTCGTTGCTCTAGGCCTTCAGCAGGGAGGCGGTGGACAGGATCGTGTCTGGAGCACGATCTTCTGCAATTTGATTATTTCACTCATCATCACCACGTTTCAATGTCCATCAGTATACTTCCATCTAAACAAATACTTTCATCCTTGCACTTCTAATGGCTGGATGTGTCTGGGGCATCTGGAGACTGTGGGTTTCCACTGGGGTGAAGAATCACCAAAAGATTAAAAGTAAACCCAGCTCCTGAAGCCTCACTCACAAGCAGGAAACAGGATGGATTTAACTGCCTTGATTGGCAGTACAGGGAATGAGTATTAAAGAGGCACACTCACCCGGCTTCACGGCCTTCTCTTCCAGCACCGACAGCCACTTCGCCCTGGTTACCAGGATGCTAGGATGCAGGCAGGAAAGAAAACACCTTGAAGAAAATTCTTCAAGGCTCTTGCACCAAAGCTTCCTAAAGTTGGTGATTTATTTCTGACAAGTCTGCAAAACCTGAGACAGCATTTTTCTGGGTTGAACTCACACTTCGTGTTTACTGAAGTCTGAGTCACGGCCCTGCCTTGCTCACAGGCACGCCTGACTGTTCTTTACGCTGATACCAGTATGCAGGGCCAGCTCCCTCTACCATGAGGCTTCACATAAAACAGTTGTTCACAAGAACCCATCATTTTCGCAGCTGCAGTGTGTTTTATCTTGGGGGACCAAAGGAGGCCATAAAATTAAGACCTCTCAAATTCTATCCTCACACATTCATTCACCAATGAAGACAGCGCTACAGAATTATTATTAGTTTGTTTGTTTTGTTTTGTTTTTGAGACAGCGTCTCCCTCTGGTGCCGCAGGCTGGAGTGCAGTGGTGCAATCACAGCTCACTGCAGTCTCCAACTCCTGGGCGCAAGTGATCCTCCTGCTTTGGCTCCCAAAGTGCTGGGAGAATTCTTTGTTAAAACGTGTGCCATAGGTGAAACCCTCTACCCATCCCTTTTTCTTAAACAAGTTCACATTTCTATGAAATTTAGAAAAGTGCAGCTCTTCTTGAACGTTTAGAATCCACAGTTCTATGAACGTTTGTGCTCAGCGAACGACACACGCTGCTGAATATACATCACTGCGTTTTCAAGGGCAGCACCGTCTAATACGCTATTTCCTTCCTCAGCTTCTCTTCCAGCCAGGCAGCCCTTCACATGTAAACCTGATCTTCCCAACTAAAGAACATTTTTCTCTTTGGGGCCCAGAGATTAAGACCGTTCCGTGTCACTATGGGCAGTAGAACCTCAGTCCCCGCACATTCGGTGGAGAGACTCGTCCCAGGGAGGGAAGACTGCCATGGAACTCGCTGTCTGAAGGTGTGAGGCAGCGTGGCACAGAATGTCCTGGAATTCAAAACTGGCTGGGCGTGGCTAAGGCAATGGCAGGGTGGGTCTCCCTCCATGCAAGGAGGCAGATTACCTTAGTCCTTCCATCTCCCACACCTTCATTCCTTTACTTTCCGAGACCCACCCTGCCACTGACAAAGCCACCACTGTACCCTAGAGATGGCTAGAGTTTTGGGAGAGGGAGACTAGCTCCTCCCACCATCCCTCATGCTTCTTTCACAAACCCAGAGTTTGATTAACTACTTCAACATCACAGCCAAGGATGAAGGTGTCACTCCCTTTGCAAGTATCAATAACAGAAGATGGAGACCTCATGACTCTGATGGTGATCACCCGGCCCTGGACAACAGTGACCACCTCCAGCTACAGGTACAAAGCTCTCCAACAGCCACGCCCAAACACCACACGGGTTTTATGTAGCTTATCCGCCCACTGCCCACTCCCAGAAAACTCGAAGGCTCTCTGTGGTTCTAAAGCACGTCTAGTGCAGGCAAGACTCTGCACACCCCGATCTGGGTGAGGCTCCACCAGCACTCGGAGGTGGTGCTCTCCAACCTGGGAGTCACAGCCCTGCTTGTCTGAAGAAACGGCAAAGTCCCCCATCTACCTCCAGGGTGCACCTAAGACAGTTAGGAAATGCAACACCATTCAGCTCACGGAAGCATGGGAGCTCACCTGCGGGCACTCATGCCACGTCTTATTTCTAGCGAGTACTGTAGGGGTCGCTGCACCGAAGCATGAGACAGCGTCAGGGCCCTAAACCATTGGGACCCGGTGCCTGCAACTGCCTGGAGCCCTGGGCAGAGCCGGGTGTGGATCAGCCTAGAGGCCGCCCCTCCAGGGTCACCAGCGCACCTGTGGGCTCCACCAACCTGAGTCTCCCAGCTTCTGCCCCTGCAACACTCTCTTCTCCACTCAGGTGCTACACCACCGTTTTTTGTTTTTTTTTTGAGACAGAGTCTCTGTGTCACTCAGGCTGGAGTGCAGTGGCGTGATCTTGGCTCACAGCAACCTCCGCCTCCAGGGTTTAAGTGATCCTCCTGCCTCAGCCTCTCAAGTAACTGGGATTACAGGCGTGCGCCACCACACCCAGTCTACACTGCCCTTTTAATAACATGAACCAGATCACAGTGCTCTCCTGATGCAAAGCGTCCACTGCTGTTCCATTCCACTCAGGGAAAAACTCACCCTCCAAGCAGTCCCAAAAGTCCCTCCCTCTCTGACCCCTCTTTCCTGCCCCCAGTCTCACATCAGCCCTTTGCACTCAGGCCCCAGGAGGCCCCTTCCAGCTTCCACAACACATGCATCTCAGGCCCAGCTCCGATCCTGGGTTCTGGTGGTTCCCTCTGCCTGAAGCACATGTCCCCAGTCCTGCAAAGCTAGTTCCTGACAGCACTCCTCAGAGCCCAAGATCAGCCTCTCTCATTTCCTTACCTTCCCCCTCCCACTACCAGCCCATGAGGACAGAGTGCTGGCCCCAGGTCGCTGCTGTGTGGCCCCCAGGACCCAGTAGGGAGCTTGGCACAGAGCACGTAGCCCAGCATACACGGGGTGTAGATCCCAGCAGAGCACTGCCCAACCCATGCACTTCCTTAGAAGGACAAGCCTGCTGGCCTGCAAGGCCCCTGACCTCTAGAACCATCTTAGACGATGGCCCCATTCAGAGACGGACAACACCGGGCATTCCAGACAACATCCACACCTGCTCCACTACCAGCAAACCTGGGCAAAGTCCCCGGGGTCCTGGCCCTAATTCTATCCAGAATATTCCCCGCACTGGAGCCTAGCAACACACCTCCATGAAGAATAAAATTCGTCTTATCTTGTCTGGGCCGGGCGCGGTGGCTCACGCCTGTAATCCCAGCACTTTGGGAGGCCGAGGCGGGCGGCTCACGAGGTCAGCAGATCGTAGCCATCCTGGCTAACACAGTGAAACCCCGTCTCTACTAAAAATACAAAAAGAAATTAGCTGGGTGTGGTGGCGGGCGCCTGTAGTCCCAGCTACTCGGGAGGCTGAAGCAGGAGAATGGCGTGAACCCGGGAGGCGGAGCTTGCAGTGAGCCGAAATCACACCACTGCACTCCAGCCTGGGCGACAGAGCAAGACTCTGTCTCAAAAAAAAAAAAATTATCTTGTCTGTGCCTACAAAATAAATGCTCTTTTATCAAAAGTGTCAATAAGGCTGGGAGCTGACATGCCAGTAATCAATAGACATCTCACTCCACATTTACTAACAGACATGGGATTTAATCAGAGGCCCTGAGACAGCATCGTGAGGACTGTGCCTGCCCTGTGCTCCTCTTGTCACATAACAGGATTTGCCATGACTGCATTCAACTGTTGCACAACATTCAGTTTCCAGGAGGTGGACAGAGCTGAGCTGAAGCACCCTGCCCCGCCCAGCACCGGCTCCCTCTCACTGCCAGTGGCGACCAGGGCAGTGGCTTGAAGCCTGCATCCTTCTGACAGCCCCTCACCCGCAGCCCCTGCCTGGGTACCGAGTCACACCTGCCTCGCCAAACTGCACAAGACGCTCTCCCAGGCAGGGTAAAGGCCACATCCACAGGGAGCCCTGCGACAGCATGACCACACCTCAGCCAGCCTTGGTGCTCTGACCAACCCAGGGCCCCTGATGACGGCATGGAACCAGCCACCGTGCTGTGAACGCTCGTTCATGTATGTGTGCACACATACACAAAGCACACATATATCCACATGTACAGCATACATTCACAGCTGCATGCACACACACACCCACACCTATACACGCATACACCCACGCACACATTCATGCACTCACTTGCACTCACACATGTATGTGCACATACACACGCACATACGCACTCACACCCTCCCTTTCACATTATCACACTCCATGCACACACACACACTCTCACACGCACTTGTGCACACACGCGGGCTCGCACCCATGCACACACAGCAGGGTCTCCCTGGGACCCTTCATCCTTGGATCTCATTAGCATTAGACCCCACTGATGTACATTCCCTCTCCATCCCTCTCCAGTAACCCCTGATCCAGTGCATGCCTCCCACACACAACAACAAAAGCTCCGCCACCTGGAGCCTGGTGTAAGGGTGAAAAGGTAAAGATTCTAGAGCCATCTCAAGTTCCCGGGGATTTGATTAACCTTCGCTGGAAACAATCTCATTAGGAAATAGCCTTCCTCACTAAGATTGTGAGCCAAATGTCAGGATCTCAATATCACCCAGGCCAGGCCAAGTTATATTTAAAATGTTAAAAGCCAAGGCTTTACAAACATGAGTGGCTCCTATTCCCTCATGAACAGAATCAGATGTAGAGTAATGAGGACATCAGAGCACAGTTGTTTCTGGAGCTTCTGGCAACTTCTACATTTTTTTTTTTTTGAGACGGAGTCTTGCTCTGTCGCCCAGGCTGGAGTACAGTGGCATGATCCCGGCTCACTGCAAGCTCCGCCTCCCAGGTTCACGCCATTCTCCTGCCTCAGCCTCCCAAGTAGCTGGGACTACAGACACCTGCCACCATGCCCGGCTTTTTTTTTTTTTTTTTTTTGTATTTTTAGTAGAGACGGGATTTCACCGTGTTAGCCAGGATGGTCTCGATCTCCTGACCTCGTGATCTGCCCGCCTCGGCCTCCCAAAGTGCTGGGACTACAGGCGTGAGCCACCACGCCCGGCCAACTTCTACATTATCATCTCTGGAAACACTGTCATTAGGCCAAGGGTGATCAAGACCATAGTGGCCAGAACACGCCAGCTGACTGTAATTAATTCATCAGCAAAGTGCTGATGAGACTAGATGTTCTGATGCCTTCTAATGATGATGATGATGATAAGGGGTGGGGGCAGGGACCACCGTACCCATCCCCATTTGGATAATTCTCGGGCACTGGGAGGGTACCTGATGTGTCTCTCCTAACTGGCTCCCGCCTCTGCTCATGGGATTCCTGTCTACCATCCAGCCAGGGCTACAGGAAAAAAGTGACCACCTCCAGGGGCCCCAGGAAGCACTCAGTTTATTATGATGAGGTGAGGAGAACCCTGGAAGACAGGTGGCCGCCAGCCCCAAGGGACAGCTAGGGACAAGCAGGGCTCTCCTCCTGCCAATAGGCTCAGGAGAAAGGTGGCAGGAAATCCAAGTGCCACGCAGCCCCCCAGTCACAGGTTCTGCACCCACCCGTCATGAACTTATCCACACATCTCCCCTGGGCGTTCAGCCTTCACCTCACTTCATCTCTGATATGGTTTGGCTGTCCCCACCCAAATCTCATCTTGAACTGTAATGTGTCATAGGAGGTCACTGAATCATGGGAGCAGGTTTTTCCCGTGCTGTTCTCTCGATAGTGAATAAGTCTCACGAGATCTGATGGTTTTATAAAGGACAGTTCTCCTGCACATGCTCTCTTGCCTCCTGCCATGGAAGACATCCGTTTGCTCCTCCTTCACCTTATTCCATGATTGTGAGGCCTCCCCAGCCATGTGAAACTCTGAGTCCATTCAACCTCTTTTTCTTTATAAATTACCCAGTGTCACGTTTTTCTTCATAGCAGTATGAAAATGGACGAACACAATCTCACTCCTGAGTCTGAAGAACGTGTGTAAAACAGAACTCTAAGTGACCCTCAGTTTTCCTCCTTTTGCTGGGAAATGCCACAACTACAGAGATAAGATCAATGCGCAGCACGATGGCTGCAGTTGACAACGCCATACTGTGCAAGTGCTGGAACTTTGCTGAGAGTCGATTTCAGGCACTTTCATTGCTAAACACAAAAAGGTAACTGTGTGAGGAGATGCAAATGCGAATTTGCCTGACTGCAGTCCTCATTTCACTACGTGCATACACAGCAAAATACGACGTTGTGCGCCTTACGATATACGCAATTGTTACTAAAAAATAATCTTAAAAATAGAAATAGATTTTTAAAAGAAATGAGATCAAACGCTGCCCGTGGGATTTTTCTCAGCCCTCACTCTAGAGAGAAAGGCCCTGGTCCTTGGTGTCCCTCCCTCCTTAACAGCTTCACCTTCCGCTTCTGGCACCTCCCACATCCTCCTCTTAGAGAGGGGACATCAACAAAAGCAGAGAATTCCGGAGACGCCCCGAGCTCGGTAGAAGGCAGCCACGGCTCTGCATCCGATCCCAAGGAGCCTTCCTGGTGCTGCCTATCCCTTGTTCTGGGCACAGCATCTTGGTACCTACCCTATCCTGTCAACCAGGTCCCAGAGCATGTTGGGCACGGGCACCAGGGGGAGCCATCGTACAAGACCACGGCCACTCCTGTGGCCAGAATGGACACCATCCCGTTCCGCATCATCCAGCCCACCTGCAAAGACAGGAGGGGTGTGGCTTCAGCAGGCACCAGGCAGCTCCCCCCGCAGCTGCCCCTCAGCTTCCTGTGTCCCTGGAAAACCACCTAAGATGGAGCCACAGGTTGGTGCTAACTGCCCATTTCAAACTCATGACACTTTGGCCCAGCAACTCCACATCTAAGAATGGATCGCACAGACATATTCATACATGTGCATGAAGACGTGTCACAGAACGTCTGTTGCTCACTTGCTGGTGACAGAGACAAAGCAATGTAGGTGTTATCGACACAAGAAAGGCCACAGGAGGTGCACACATGCTACTCACACCACTACGCAGCTAATGAACTCACAAGAGACGTTCAGAACAGCGCCTGGCCCCAGCAGGATGAGGGAAGCAATTAAGCAGCCATGAAACAGAATGAGGTCTGGGCTGACGCGGAACCGCCTCCAAAGAAGGAGGTCTGGGCTGACGCGGAACCGTCTCCAAAGAAGGAGGTCTGGGCTGACGCGGAACCGTCTCCAAAGAAGGAGGTCTGGGCTGACGCGGAACCGTCTCCAAGACATTGTTCATACAAAGCAAGCATGCAGCATAACCCTGTCAGTCCAGAGGAAAGGACAGATATGTAAACACACACGCTCACACACACATGCCCATACATATGCACACACACACGTGCACACATGCACTCACACACACGTGCGCACACACGCACTCACGCACACATGCACGCACACGTGCGCACACACACACACGCCTACAGGGGCAACGATCCACACTGAGGCAATGAAAATGATTGGCATGGCTGCCTCTGGGCCCTGGGAGACACCCAGCCTTTCCCCACACATCCTACTGGGGCTGCTTGAAATTTTTGCCATATCCAAGAAGATTTAAGTTTTTTTATTTTAATTGAAAACTATTATTAATTTCAAAAACGTTAAGGCAAGAAGGTGCAGATACACTCACAGCACCCTCATCTAGACAGGGAGACTCCATGGGTGGTCCTGGAGCGAAACAAATACCATGACAGAGTGAGGGGGAAGTTCCAGCAGGAATCTTGGCCCTGGAGGGCAACAGGGAGCACCCCAACCCCACCATGGAGGCAAGGAGGTCACCGGGGATGCGCCCAGCCTGGGAGGACTGGAGCGGACGTGGCTGGGTGTCCTGGGCCTCGCCCCACAGCCCCAAGGTCAGAATCTCAGAGGGCGGGGATGCGGTGGCCATGTGACAACCCCAAGTGGTTCTCACTCAGCCCTGGGTCAGAACCCCTGGACAACAGCTCGCAGGACTCAGGATGAAACAGAGCGCCAGGCCAGCAGGTCACCTACGGCATGAACGACGTGGTTTAGCCTACGTCAGGAACCTGCCTCCCGCCTGCCGCAGCCTAGGGCTGTCCCCAATTCACGTAGGCGACAGTGACCCAAAACCAACATCCCTGGGAAGCCCCACCCACACCTACTTCCCACTCACAGAGGCAGAGGGCACAAGGACACGAGGACACAGGCAAGGTCTCTAGTCAAACTGCTTTCTTCTTTTTTCCTGAGACAGGGTCTCACTCTGTCACCCAGGCTGGAGTGCAGTGGCACAATCACAGCTCACCGCAGCCTCAACCTCCTAACCTCAAGTGATTCTCCTGCCGCAGACTCCCACATACCTGGGACCACAGGTGTGAGCCACCACGCCCAGCTAATGTTCTTATTTTTTGTAGATGAGGTCGCTCTTTGTTGTCCAGGCTAGTCTTGAAGTCCCGGCCTCAAGGGATCCTCCTGCCTCAGCCTCACAAACTGCTGGGATTACAGGCATGAGCCACCACGCCTGGCCATGGAGCTGCTTTCTGAACAGGTCTCAACGTACCCGTTCAGTTTCTTTTATTAAGGAACTATTCACCAAAGGGGAAACCAGTGCCTGGAAGCCCGGAGCAGCACAGCATTCCTGGCCACCTCACTGTCCAACAAAGCTGCTGAAAGCTGAGTCAAGGCATTGTGGCTCACACCTGTAATCCCACCATTTTGGGAAGCCAAGGTGGGAAGATCACTTGAGCTCAGGAGGTTGAGACCAGCCTGGGTAACACAGTGAGACCTTGTGTCTACGGAAAAGCAATTTTATTTCTTTTAGAACGGAGTCTCGCTGTCACCCAGGCTGGCATGCAGTGGCATGATCTCGGCTCACTGCAACCTCTGCCTCTTGGGTTCAAGTGATCCACCCACTCCAGCCTCCCAAGTAGCTGGGATTACAGGCGCCCACCACCATGCCCGGCTTTTTTGTATTTTTAGTAGAGAAAGGGTTTCATCGTGTTGGCCAGGCTGGTCTCAAACTCCCAACCTCAAATGATCCACCTGCCTCGTCCTCCCGAAGTGTTGGGATTACAGGCGTGAGCCACCATGTCTGGCCTCTAGAAAAAAATTTTTTTTTAAATTAGCCAGGCGTGGTGGAGTGCACCTGTGGTTTCAGCTACTCCTGGAGGCTGAGGCGGGAGGATTACTTGAGCCCAGGAGGTCGAGGCTGCAGTGAGCCATGATCACCACTGCACTCCAGCCTGAGCAACAGAGTGAGACTCTATCAAAAGAAAAGATGAAAGGTAAAGGGAAAAAGGGGGGAGAAAGCAAAGGGAAAACAGGAAAGGAAGGGAGAGGAAAGGAGGGAGGGAGGGAAGTGGGGAGGGAGGACGAGTGGGTCACAGTACAGGCTGGGCCCAGGGCTGCAGGATGTGAAACTGCCAGTGAGGCTGCTGTTAGAATCCAGGTGGGGTCAAGCTGCTCCAAGGAAAAATCTAACTGCCTGATTCTTAGTGAGCAGGATCCTTCCAGTAAAAATGAAATGCCTCTGAGAAAACTGCTCCAAATTTTTGAGTTCTTTCCATTGTATCTTTCCTCTCAATACAAGACCCTGACATTTTAAATTGCGGTGTCCCAGGGAGGCAGCCGAACCCTGCATCCTCGTAGCTGCTGGGAGCTTTCTGCAGCTCCATAAGGACGCTGCACTGATGCTGCTGCCCGGGCTTCCTGCTCTGAAACATCTGAGAAAGGACCCGGCACACGAGGGCTCATTGGTGGGGGTGCGGCTGGCACCAGTATTCTACGTTAGGGATTGGGGATGGGGTGGGTTGTAGAGCAAATCCCTGCAGCTGAAAGAAACCTGAATCATTTGTCCCAAGAACCATGTTAATTCACAGCTGGTCACAGAGAGCCGGGAGTGGCCTCTCCACAGTCACACGTCAAAAACACACCTAAGGTCCCCCCCTCCTGAGTCTGCGTGTGATCCCAGGGGTCTGTCCCCTTCACCGGTGTCTGTGGGAGGTCCCAGAGGTCTGTCCCCTTCACCGGTGTCTGAGTGAGGTCCCAGGGGTCTGTCCCCCTCCTGCATCTGTGTGAGGTCCCAGGGGTCTGTCCCCCTCCTGCATCTGTGTGAGGTCCCGGGGAGTCTCTCACAAGGGGCATAGAAGGGCCCTGGGCATTGACCTCACAGGTCAGGCACGTGCCTGTGGCATTCCACTTGGCATAAAAACTCAGCACAGAAGCACCGCCCAGGACCTGCACCTAGATCATTCTGGAAGCTCCTGATGTTTTGAGTTCCCCTCTGGGGTAAAACACACTTCCTTTAACTTGTCCTAACCTTTTGTCTTTCAGTGCTCAACAAGGGCAGGAAGCCCTCTAACACCTGAAGTTGGGGTTGTGGTTTCAAGGTGTGGACTCCATGCTGCTGAGGCAGGGAGGGCGGAGGAGCGGGGCCATCTTGACACTGTGCCCTGGGGAAGCCCTCACTGAGGTGCAGCACAGGAAGCACCCCGGGGAAGCCCTTACCATGGTGTAGCACGGGCCGGCGCCCAGGGGAAGCCCTTACTGTGTGTAGCCTGGGCAAGCACCCTGGGGAAGCTCTTACAGTGTGTAACACGGGTCAGCATCCTGGGGAAGCCCTCACTGTGTGTAGCACAGGCCAGCACCCCAGGAAAGTCCTTACCATGTGTAGCCCGGGCAAGTACCCCAGGGAAACCCTTACCGGGTGTCATGGGCTGGCGCCCGGGGAAGCCCTCACTGTATATACCACAGGGCAGCAACCCGGGGAAGCCTTCACTGGATGTAGCACAGGCTGGTGCCTGTGGAAGCCTTTACCGTGATGTAGCACAGAAGGATGTCACCGCTGGTCATGTTGCTGTGCAGCAGGTGCTCCGTCCGATGCTGGATGAGGGTGCCCTGCGGGGGAGACGGGGACAGCGGGTGCTATCTATTAGGCGTACAGTACCAGGGTACCTGGTCCACATGCCACTCAGACGCTACCAGAAGCAGCCCCAGCAGATCCCCAATTTCTTTCCTGGCAGAAGCAGACTTTGGAGGCTCCCCCTTCTCCCTGGTGATGAGCCATGCCCCCACGTCCCTCTGCCACCCAAAAGCTGAGCGTGGCTTGTAGCCTGGAGAGAAAAACCCTGACACTCCTGCCTGCCTTTGAGTTCTCAGTACCCTGGCCATCGAGGGCACCATGGAGGCCCACCAGCTTCGGGCAAAAGAGAAGTGACCCTTATTGAGAAGAGAGTCAAAGAACAAAAGACCAGGGCCTGACTGTTCCAGGACGGGTGCTAGCCCAGCCTCATAGGGGACAGAGATCAGGGGGTCGAGCCAACTGAGAGAAACGGGGAAATGAGCTATGGGGAGAGCAGAAGTGTAGGGAAAAGAAAGAGAGATCAGACTGTTACTGTGTCTATGTAGAAAGAAGTAGACATAAGAGACTCCATTTTGTTCTGTACTAAGAAAAATTCTTATGCCTTGAGATGCTGTTAATCTGTAACCCTACCCCCAACCCCGTGCTAGCAGAAACATGTGCTGTGTCCACTCAAGGTTTAATGGATTTAGGGCTATGCAGGATGCGCTTTGTTAAACAAACGCTTGAAGGCAGCATGCTTGTTAAAAGCCATCACCACTCCCTAATCTCAAGTACCCAGGGACACAAAACACTGTGGAAGGCCGCAGGGACCTCTGCCTAGGAAAGCCAGGTATTGTCCAAGTTTTCTCCCCATGTGACAGTCTGAAATACGGCCTCGTGGGAAGGGAAAGACCTGATCGTCCCCCAGCCCGACACCCGTAAAGGGTCTGTGCTGAGGAGGATTGGTGAAAGAGGAAGGCCTCTATGCAGTTGAGATAAGAGGAAGGCATCTGTCTCCTGCTCATCCCTGGGTAATGGAATGTCTCCATGTAAAACCCGATTGTATGTTCCATATGCTGAGATAGGAGAAAACCGCCTTAAGGCTGGAGGTGAGACACGCTGCCGGCAATACTGCTCTTTAATGCACCAGATATTTTTATGTATGTGCACACCAAAGCACAGCACATTTTCTAACCTTGTTTATGACACAGAGACATTTGTTCATGTTTTCCTGCTGACCCTGTCCCCACTATTACCTTATTGTCCTGCCACATCCCCCTCTCCGAGATGGTAGAAATAATGATCAATAAATACTGAGGGAACTCAGAGACTGGTGCGGGCGCAGGTCCTCCGTATGCTGAGCGCCGGTCCCCTGGGCCCACTTTTCTTTCTCTATACTTTGTATCTGCGTCTTTCTTTTCTCAAGTCTCTCCTTCCACCTGACGAGAAACACCCACGGGTGTGGAGGGGCAGGCCACCCTTTCACTGAAGAGCTGGCCCAGAGGAGAGCCTGGAGCAGCATGAGGG
Source organism: Homo sapiens (assembly GCF_000001405.40). Classification (NCBI taxonomy): domain Eukaryota; kingdom Metazoa; phylum Chordata; class Mammalia; order Primates; family Hominidae; genus Homo; species Homo sapiens. Next base: position 178,799,083 of record NC_000005.10, read on the forward strand.
CAAGAGCCACGGCGTGGACCAAGCGTCCTGACTCCCTGAGACTGGCCCAGAAGGAGTCCCAGTGCGAGGTAAGAATTCAACCCGAGTCAGAAAGAAGCTCTTTTATCAAGCCTAGGGGTAGAGGAGGATCAGAGAAAGGAAGATGTGATAGCGGTTCCTAGAAAAGCACCACTTTCGGCCGGGTGCAGTGGCTCATGACTGTAACCCCAGCACTTTAGGAGGCTGAGGCGGGTGGATCACGAGGTCAGAAGTTCGAGACCAGCCTGGCCAACCCACTGAAACCCCGTCTCTACTAAAAATACAAAAAAAAAAAAATTAGCCAGGGGTGCTGGCGGGCCCCTATAATCCCAGCTACTCGGGAGGCTGAGGCAGGAGATCGCTTGAACCTGGGAGGCAGAGGTTGCAGTGAGCCAAGATCGCACTACTGCACTCCAGCCTGGGTGACAGAACAAGACTCCGTCTCAAAAAAAAGAAAAGCAAAGCACCATATTGACCCAGGTATTTTATTTCTGAAGGTGGCCCAGTGAAATCATGAAAACGAAAGACACTGACATCATGTCCCCCCGACAGATCCAAGGAGAAGGACGCGTCATTTCCAAGGTGCTCCTACCCAAGGCTGCATCATCTGGACCTAACCACGACGAGGTATCAGAGAGACCCAAAGAGAGCCATTCTGCCAAACCAGGAGCCTGAGCTCTTCAAAAATGTCAGTGTCATGAAAGACAAAGAAAGCCCAAGGAACTGCTACAGATCCAAAGACATTAAGGAGACCTGACAACCGAGGAGGCCTGAGCCGCTAGGACACTGCTGGGAGGGAAACTGGTGACCTGTGAGTATGGACTGCAAATCAGGTGACGGCATTGCACCAACGTCAACCTTTCTGAATTTATTATTATTGTTATTTTTTAAGACGGAGTCTCGCTCCGTCGCCCAGGCTGGAGTGCAGTGGTGCAATCTCTGCTCACCGCAAGCTCCGCCTCCTGGGTTCACACCATTCTCTTGCCTCAGCCTCCCGAGTAGCTGGGACTACAGGTGCCCGCCACCACACCCGGCTAATTTTTTGTATTTTTAGTAGAGACGGGATTTCACCACGTTAGCCAGGATGGTCTCGATCTCCTGACCTCGTGATTCGCCCGCCTCGGCCTCCCAAAGTGCTGGGATGACAGGCGTGAGCCACCGCGCCCGGCCTCTAGCTCTTTATTTATTTCATTTCTCCCTTTCTCTTTTGTTCATGGTTTCCCTCTTGCCCAGACTGATCGCAAACTCTGGGCTCAAACAATCCTCCTGCCTCGGCCTCCCCAGTAGCTGGGATTACAAACTCAGTCCACCTTCCTTCCTCAATAATAGAATTAAAATGCAAAGTTCTCTCTGATTAGAAAAAAACCAGTCACAGGTGCATCATTGACTGGAGTGTGAGAAGCACATGACCTTGCAAAACGTCGGCTGGATCATTTTCGGAGGCATCAGAAGAATCAGATATTTTTATAAGTGAAAACACTGCAATTTGCCACAAGTGGAACTGTGCATAAATAGAGAACAGAACAAAACCAGCTCATCTCCTCTGTCCCTCTGTCTCGAATTCTTGGGGAAGGAGAATTGTAATTAACATAGAGATGACACTTAATTAGAACATGATCTCCTGTTACCGCCCAAAGAAACCCTCAGTGGGCCAGGCACAGTGGCTCACGCTTGTAATCCCAGAACACTGGGAGGCCGAGGCAGGCAAATCACGAGGTCAGGAGATCGAGACCATCCTGGTCAACATGGTGAAACCCCGTCTCTACTAAAATAGAAAAAATTAGCAGGCGTGGTGGCGCGTGCCTCTAGTCCCAGCTACGGGGGAGGCTAAGGCAGGGGAATTGCTTGAACCCAGGAGGCAAAGGTTGCAGTGAGCCAAGATCACGTCACTGCACTCCAGCCTGGAGACAGAGCAAGAGTCCATCTCAGGTAAAAAAAAAAAAAAAAAAAAAATCCCTCACTGACCCCTCCAGGGATGTGGGGAGGAGCTGACCGGGCAGCTTGTGTGGTGTTCTGTGCACTTTAGCAGGAAAGGTGAGGCAAGATGGGTGATTCAGACCCACCAGCTCGAGCTGTCTAGCGGCCCCACGCTCCACACTCATCAGCAAGTTGCACCCACACCTTCCTTCACGCCCATCTGGGCAGCAGCTGAGGTGAGATTTCCACTGCCCACCCCCTTTTCCAGCACTTGCTCTTGCTTCCCCCCACCCTCACAGGAGTTTGCCTACAAAATTTGTAAGGCATACAGTTCAATTCCTGTGGGGGTGGGGGAGGTGGACCTACTATCTGGCAAAGCAGGCTTCAAACCCTGGTTTAAGGGGAAAATCTGGCCAAATCTCTTTCCTCCCACTCCACTGAAGACCCCACTCCTGAGCCTCTCCATTTCATCAACCTGATTCATCGTAACCACAGCTCTTATCACTCACTGAAATCACATTTGATTTCAATCACTGTCAGATGTACCCATTTGCTCTGGTCCCTTCATAAGAACGCAAGCACCTGAAGGTAGGGACTTCATCTCGTTTACTGCAGCAGTATTACCAAGGAATGGAATCATGCGTGACACAGAAGTTTTGAAAACATGTGAGTGAAATAATGGATACTTATGTTCTTTTGTTCTTGTTTGCCTCACTGAAAGTCGCTTCCATTATTTGAAGTCTTCAATAAAGTTTGATTTCATATCATGTCTTCTTCTGATCTGTATTTGCCCATATTCAGGCAAAATGGGATGAAGAGAGTAGAGGCAGCATTGCAAAATGGCCTCAGGGAGTGGGTGGGGACTAGCCATTTCATGGGGCCGGGGTGGCTGCTATTGGGGTTTTAAAGAAAAAGCTGATCTTCCTTGCACTGGAGGAATTACTAGTGTAGAAGGCAGATGGACATCTAAACAGACAATCACGAAGTCCATGGAAAGCATCAGAATACTAGAAGCATAAGGGGAAATGCGAGCCTCCCGTGGTGGGCCAGGAGATGGGGAATGCTTCAAGAGGAGGTGACATCTGCACTGAGTCTTTTTTCTTCTTCTTCTTATTATTATTATACTTCATGTGCACAACGTGCAGGTTTGTTACATATGTATACATGTGCCATGTTGTACCCATCAACTTGTCATTTAGCATTAGGTATATCTCCTAATGCTATCCCTCCCCGCTCCCCCCACCCCACAACAGTCCCCAGTGTGTGATGTTCCCCTTCCTGTGTCCATGTGTTCTCACTGTCCAATTCCCACCTATGAGTGAGAACATGCAGTGTTTTTTTGTCCTTGCGATAGTTTGCTGAGAATGATGGTTTCCAGCTTCATCCATGTCCCTACAAAAGACATGAACTCGTCATTTTTTATGGCTGCATAATATTCCATGGTGTATATGTGCCACATTTTCTTAATACAGTCTATCATTGTTGGACATTTGGGTTGGTTCCAAGTCTTTGCTATTGTGAATAGTGCCGTAACAAACATACGTGTGCATGTGTCTTTATAGCAGCATGATTTATAATCCTTTGGGTATATTCCCAGTAATGGGATGGCTGGGTCAAATGGTATTTCTAGTTCTAGATCCCTGAGGAATCGCCACACCGACTTCCACAATGGTTGAACTAGTTTACAGTCCCACCAACAGTGTAAAAGTGTTCCTATTTCTCCACATCCTCTCCAGCACCTGTTGTTTCCTGACTTTTTAATGATCACCATTCTAACTGGTGTGAGATGGTATCTCATTGTGGTTTTGATTTGCATTTCTCTGATGGCCAGTGATGATGAGCATTTTTTCATGTGTTTTTTGGCTGCATAAATGTCTTCTTTTGAGAAGTGTCTGTTCATATCCTTTGCCCACTTTTTGATGGGGTTGTTTGTTTTTTTCTTGTAAATCTGTTGGAGTTCATTGTAGATTCTGGATATTAGCCCTTTGTCGGACGAGTAGGTTGCAAAAATTTTCTCCCATTCTGTAGGTTGCCTGTTCACTCTGATGGTGGTTTCTTCTGCTGTGCAGAAGCTCTTTAATTAGATCCCATTTGTCAATTTTGGCTTTTGTTGCCACTGCCTTTGGTGTTTTAGACATGAAGTCCTTGCCCAATGCCTATGTCCCGAATGGTATTGCCTAGGTTTTCTTCTAGGGTGTTTATGGTTTTAGGTCTAACATTTAAGTCTTTAATCCATCTTGAATTAATTTTTGTATAAGGTGTAAGGAAGGGATCCAGTTTCAGCTTTCTACATATGGCTAGCCAGTTTTCCCAGCACCATTTATTAAATAGAGGATCCTTTCCCCATTGCTTGTTTTTGTCAGGTTTGTCAAAGATCAGATAGTTGTAGATATGCGGCATTATTTCTGAGGGCTCTGTTCTGTTCCATTGATCTATATCTCTGTTTTGGTACCAGTACCATGCTGTTTTGGTTACTGTAGCCTTGTAGTATAGTTTGAAGTCAGGTAGCGTGATGCCTCCAGCTTTGTTCTTTTGGCTTAGGATTGACTTGGCAATGTGGGTTCTTTTTTGGTTCCATATGAACTTTAAAGTAGTTTTTTCCAATTCAGTGAAGAAAGTCATTGGTAGCTTGATGGGGATGGCATTGAATCTATAAATTACCTTGGGCAGTATGGCCATTTTCACGATATTGATTCTTCCTACCCATGAGCATGCACTGAGTCTTGAAATAGGAGCCAGCCAGGCTAAAGGAGAGAGGGGAAGGTGTTCGAGAAGAACGTGAGGTCAGGGATGCAAACGAAACCATGAACTGAGCAATGGTTGCCAACTGACCTCCTGGAATTGACCCTTAACAATCCAGCAGTAAGTAGGTTAAAATGCTCTCTGCCTCCCCACCATTAGACTGAGCTCCTTGAAAGCAGTAACTGTCAGCCAGGCACGGTGGCTGACGCCTGTAATCCCCGTACTTTGGGAGGCTGAGGCAGGTGGATCACTTGAGATCAGGAGTTTGAGACCACCCTGACCAACATGATGAAACCCCGTCTGCACAAAAATACAAAAATTAGCCAGGCGTGGTGGCTGGCATCTGTAATTCCAGCTACTTGGGAGGCTGAAACAGGAGAATTGCTAGAACCCAGGAGGCAGAAGTTACAGTGAACTGAGTTGGCACCATTGTACTCCAGCCTGGACAACAAGAACGAAACTCTGTCTCAAAAAAAAAAAAAAAAAGGAAGTAGGAACTGTCTTATTTACCACTATATCTAATGTCCTAAGAAAATGCCTGGCACAGAGTAAGGGTCAGAAAAGATTCGTTGAAAAGCTGTCTTGCAGCCTTCCAATTTTATGTTAAGAATAGCACAACATGTTTCTCGGCCGGGCGCGGTGGCTCATGCCTGTCATCTCAGCACTTTGGGAGGCCGAGGCTGGTGGATCACCTGAGGTCAGGACTTCGGGACCAGCCTGGCCAACATGTTGAAACTCTGTCTCTGCTATAAGTACAAAAAAATTAGCCAGGCGCGTTGGCACACACCTGTAATCTCAGCTACTTGGGAGGCTGAGACATGAGAAACACTGAGCCTGGGAGGTGGAGGTTGCAGTGAACAGAGATTGCGCCACTGCACTCCAGCCTGGGCAGTGAAAAAAAAAAAAGTTTTCTCTAGTACAAAAAAGAAAATATTTGTTGAATAAATAAACCAAAGCACCACTGCCTAGATTATCTTACCCTATCCCTCAGACCAAATGCCTCTGTACCTGTGCTCACATAAGTCACATCAGAGATTGCTATGTACGTGAGCATTATATATAAATTGCTGGACAGCCCTCAATGGATTAATTGATATGGGGCAAAGCATTTGTCTTTTGTTCAATGTGTTTCACTCTTGGTTATGATACTTATACACAAAGGAAAGCAATACTGTTTGCTTTTACCAGGAAAATTTTACAATGTGAGTGGAAACAGGCTTCTAAAATAATAATGGTGAAAATTATGGTAATATTTATTGAATGCCTACTGTGTGCCAGACAGTTTGTTTATAACCCACCCAACTAACTTGTAGGATGGATATTATCTACTATAAAAGAGGAAACTAAAGCTCATAGGAATTGAGAAACATGACCAGGCTTATATCCTGTAGCAGGTGGTTCAAATGATCCTCCTGGTTCAGCCTTCCAAAGTGCTGGGATTACACGCATGAGCCACCCCACTTGACCCGTCCCCCCCTTTTTTTTTAAGACAGCGTGTCACTCTGTTGCCCAGGCTGGAGTGCCATAGTATGATCTCAGCTCACTGCAGCCTCAATTTCCTGGGCTCAAGGGATCCTCCCAACACAGCCTCCAGAGCAGCTGAGACTACAGGTGTGCACCACCATGCCTGGCTATTTTTCCTTAACATTTTTTCTCAGAGACAGGGTCTTGCTATGTTGCCCAAGCTGGTCTCAAACTCCTAGACAAAAGCGATCCTCCCACCTTGGCCTCCAAAAGCGCTAAGATTATAGGCGTGAGCGACCACGCCTGGCCCATTTTTCTTAAAATTAGTTTGCCACTGTATTCTTCCTCTTTTGGAAGTATTCTTCTGATGAATTTGTTCATTCAGAAAACATCTTCCAAGTTCCCACTCTGTGGCTGGCACAGTCCCAGGTGGTAGAGATACCTGCCTTGGTCTCAGGAGCTTAGGGCCTCATGAGGATGTTGGATATTTGAAGATTAAACGAGGACTTCATGGCCGGGCACAGTGGCTCATGCCTGTAATCCCAGCACTTTGGGAGGCCGAGGCAGTCAGATCACGAAGTCAGGAGGTTGAGACCATCCTGGCTAACATAGTGAAACCCCGTCTCTACTAAAAATACAAAAAATTAGCCGGGCGTGGTGGCGGGCGCCTGTAGTCCCAGCTACTCGGGAGGCTGAGGCAGGAGAATGGCGTGAACCCGGGAGGCGGAGCTTGCAGTGAGCTGAGATCACACCACTGCACTCCAGCCCGGGCAACAGAGCGAGACTCCATCTCAAGAAAAAACAAACAAAAACCAACTGGTCAGAGACGAAAACACAAAAGAAATTAGAAAATACTTTGCTATGAGCAATAGAGAAAACACAACATATCAAAATTTATAGGATAGAGTCAAAGCAGTGCTTAGGGGAAAACTACAGCTGTAAACGCCAACCTTAGGAAGAAAGATAAAGAGAAAGTCAATAACCTAACTTTACACGTGAAGATTTCGGAAAAAAAGAAGACCAAATGAAACCGAAAGCAAGGAGAAGGAAGAAAATAATAAGGATTAGAACAAAAGTAAGTGATCTAAAGAAGAGAAATGGAGAAAATTAATAAAACCAAAACTTTGTTCTTTCACAAGACCAACAAAATAAGTCTTGAGCTTCAAAAGACCAACAAAATAATCAAGTCTTGAGCTAGATGATCAGAAAAGTGGGGGGAAGGAGAAAGATTTAAATGAATAAAATCAGGAATAAAAGAGGACATTAATACGCACCTTACAGAAATAATAATTGTAAGGAAATACTATGAACTATATGCCAACAAATTAGATCACTTACATATGAAATGAACAAATTCCTATAAAGACACAAACTACCAAAACTGATTCAAAAAAAATAGAAAACTTGACTAGAAACATAACAAAATATTGAATTTGTAATTTTAAAATTTTAAACACAGAAAAAGCCCATGCTCAGAAATAGCAATTCTTCACATACTCTTCCAGAAAAATGAAGAACATTTCCTGACTCATTCTGCAAAGCCAGTATTCTCTGACACCAAAACCCAAGACACTACAACAAAACCACAGACCACTATCTCTTATAAATACATATGCAAAAATCCTCAACATAACACTGGCAAACTGAATGCAGCAATATATAAAAAGGATTATACACCATGACCAAATGGGATTTATCCCAGAAATGCAAGGTTGCTTTAACATCTGAAAAACAATTTATGCAATATACCATATAAACAGAATAAAGAACAAAAGCCACATGGTAATTTCAATAGATGCAGAAAAAGCATTTGACAAAATTCTACGCCCCTTCATGATAAAAATACTCAACAAACTTGAGGCCAGGCATGGTGGCTCACACCTGTAATCCCAGCACTTTGGGAGGTCAAGCCAGATGGATTACCTGGGGTCAGAAGTTGAGACCAGCCAACATGGTGGAAGCCCGTCTTTACTAAAAATACAAAAAATTAGCTGGGCGTAGTGGGGGCCATGTGTAATCCCAGCTACTTGTGAGGCTGAGGCAGGAGAACTGCTAGAACCCTGGAGGCAGAGGTTGCAGTGAGCCGAGATTGTACCACTGCACTCCAGCCTGGGTGACACAGCTAGACTGCCTCAAAAAAAAAAAAAAAAATTCATACAGATGCAAGGACTCAAAATAGCCAAAACAATCTTGAAAGGAAGAATAGTGGTGGAGGACTCACACTTCTGGATTGCAAAACTTTCTAGAAAGCTACAGTAACCAAGGCAATGTGGTGTTGACATGAGAATAGACATGGATCAATGGAGTAGAATTCAGAGTCCCGTAATAAAGCCTCACTTATATGGTCAATTGATTTTCAACAGTGGTCAGCTGAGACAATCAAATGGGAAAAGAATAGTCTTTTCCATAGATGATGCTTGGAAAACTAGATATTCGCATACAAGAGGATAAGGTTGGACCTCCACCTCATCATATGCAAAAGTTGACTTAAAATGGATAATAGACCAAATTATGAGCTAAAACTCTAGAAGGCTGGGCACAGTGGCTCACACCTGTAATCCCAGAACTTTGGGAGGCCGAGGCAGGTGGATCACCTGAGGTCAGGAGTTCGAGGCCAGCCTAGCCAACATGGTAAAATCCTGTCTCTACTAAAAATACAAAAATTAGCTGGGCATGGTGGCATGTGCCTATAATCCCACCTACCCAGGAGGCTGAGGCAGGAGAATCACTGGAAGCCGTGATGCAGAGGCTGCAGTGAGCTGAGATCGGGCCACTGCACTCCAGCCTGGGTGACAGAGCAAGACTCCGTCTCAAATAAATAAATAAATAAATAAATAAATAAATAAATAAAACTCTAAGAAGAAAACGGGTGCAAATCTTTGTGACTTTAGATTAGGCAATATTTTCTTAGATGTGACAAGAAAAGCATAAGCTACGAAGAAAAATATATAAATTGTACTACAACAAAACTCAAAACTTTCCCGCTTCAGAGGACACCATCAAGAAAGTGAAATGGCAAACCATAGAAGGAGAGAATATTTTTGCAAGTCAAATATTTGAAAAGAGACTTGTATGTAGAATATATACAGAACTCCTGGCCAGCATGGTAGCTCACTCCTGTAATCCCAGCACTTTGGGAGGCCAAGGTGGTAGGACAGCTTGAGGCCAGGAGTTCAAGACCAGCCTGGGTAACAGAGTGAGACCTCATGTCTACAAAAAAATAAGGCTGGGTGTTGTGGCAGGGACCTGTAGTCCCAGCTCCTCAGTATGCTGAGATAGGATCATCACTTGAGCCCACCAGTTTGAGGCTTCGGTTAGCTATGATTGCACCACTGTACTCCAGCCTGGATGACAGAATGAGATCCTGTCTCAAAAAAATATATATGTATATTATAAGGTGGGAAACAGACCCAAAGTCTGAGCTCAGGGCCTGCCTTAAACTCTGGCTTCTGTATGTCCAGGTCTGCGGTTCAGAGCCTTGGAGGAAACCACTGTGATACTCTCTGGCTTCATTGTCTCCCTACTAGTTGGGGTCACAGTATTATAGGAAAGAGACCCATGGATTTGTAAGAGAGATATCTGTTTAAAGCAGATTCACCTTCCATGCAATCCATCCTTCTTTCCCGTGGCTTCATGGTGAATTGCAATTTTAAGTAGAGGTATCTGAAGAGAGTTACATACTTATAAAGATTCACTAAGCTTCAACCACATGCCAGGCATTGGAGATACAACGGTGAGGCAACACAGACACAATTTCTGTCGTCTTACAGTCAGGGGTGAGCTATATAACCAACACATCTATAAAACTGTCACCGTGACAAGTGTCAGGAAGCACAGCCAGCCAGATGCAATTGAGAAATGGAAATTTGATCTAGTGAAAGAGATCTGGGATAAGCTTCCTTGAGGAAGCGACACGTGAGGAGGGATGTGAAGGAGAATTGGAATTATGTGGGAAAGGCAGGGAGAAGAGAGTTCCAGTCTGAGGCCACAGCTTGTGCAGCCTCCCATGGCTCAAGGCAGCATGGCAAGGGTGAGCAGAATGCCACTGAGGCTGCAGCATGGGAGCAAGCAGAAGGGCAAAGCAGGTGTTCAGAGAAACACACCTGCTGAAATGAGTACAGAGATACCCTTAGATGAGAGGACTGAATTCCAGTGTTCTATTGCATAGCAGGGTTCATAGGTTCACAATATCCTAGAATAATCTTTAAAATAGCAGGTAGAGAAGACTGAATTTTTTCTCCACAAATAACTAATAACTATACTAGGTAATAGGAATGTTAAATCCCACGATTTGTTCATTACAATGTGTGTACCTATGTCAAAATGTCCCTTGCATCCTCTCGTCGTATACATATACTATACAGCAATTACAACAAAGTTTGAATAAATACTACCAAAATTCCCATGGAATCATAAAATGCCCTGGGTTTCCAAAGCCATCTTTACAAATCCAAACTATGTTGGATGCATCATAGACCTCATTCCTATTTACATCTCAAAGCTACAGTGATGCAACCGATATGTTACAGGCATGCCCACAGAAACACAGGGCAATGGGCAAAATGAGGGAGCCAAATAATAAACCCAAATTCGTCTACAGTAAACATATTTAAGAATAATGCCAGGAAACACAATGGGGAAAGGAGAGTCTGTTCAATATACGGTATTGGAAACTGGATATCCATATGCAAAAGAATGAGACAGGACACCTGTGGTACAAAATACACCATCAACAATTTGAAACGGATGGCAGAATATACGCGAAACTTGAAATCATTAAGCTATTAAAAGAAAACCTGGCCAGGCGCAGTGGCTCACGCCTGTAATCCCAGCACTTTGGGAGGCTGTGGTGGGCGACTCACCTGAGGTCAGGAGTTCGAGACCAGCCTGGCCAACATGGTGAAACCCGCTCTTTACTAAAAATACAAAAATTAGCCAGATGCAGTGGCATGCCGCCTGTAATCTCAGCTAATCGGGAGGCTGAGGCTGGAGAATCACTTGCATCCAGGAGGTGGAGATTGAGGTTAGCTGAGATCGCGCCACTGCATCCATTCTGGCAGTTGAGGTGATGACAAAGCCAGATTCCTTCTAAAAAAAAAAGCAACAACAAAAAATAAAAATAAAAAAAGAAAAGAAAACCTAGCATGTGTGTATACTTAGAACAACGCATATGGATGTTTAGAGTTTGAAAACAGAAAACCACAAAAATACGGGAGAAAAATCATTGACAAAAGATTGCCTTAGTAGTGAGTATGTTTTGTCTTGATTAATCACCAACATCACAGGCAACCAGGGAATTATACACATGTGGGACTATATCAAAATGAAGACCTCGTACTCACAAAGGAAACAATAAAGAAAACAAAAAGCATCCTGAAGATGAGAAGAAAGGTTTGGGGAAACACACAGCTGATAAGGGGTTGTTCTGGAAAAGGTACAAGGTATAGTACTGACACCACTAACTAGCAAACAACAAAACAAACAAAAAAAAAACAGAGAAACTGATAACCAAACCATGGCAAATGGGCCAAGAACCTGAATAAACTTTTCTTCAAAGAACACATAAAATTGAAAACAAGTTCACAAACACTTGGTTAACACCACTAGTTATGAAAAAAATGGGAATCCGAAAAACACTCGGATACCATGTCACTCTAATTGAAATAAATAGTACCAAAAAGTGAACATATATATAAAAGACAAATGCTGGTGTGGGTTTCCAGAGAGGGGAAATCTTAGCCACAACTGGTAGGAATATTCTGGTATATACACTACAGGAATCAGCTGGAGGTTCCTCAAAACATTGAAAAAAAGAACTACCATTTCATTTAGCCATGCTACTGCTGGGTATACATTCAAAGCAAAAGAAATCAGTCCATGGAAGAGGTATCTGCCTTCCCATGCTGACTGTGGCACTATTCACAAGAGCTAAGATGAGAAATCAACTTACCTATCCATCCACAGATGATGGGATACAGAAACCATAGTGTCCATTCACAATGGAACACTCTTCAGCCAGACACAGATACTGAAATCATGTCATCGGGAGCCACATGGTTGAACCTGGAGGAAATGATAGTAAATGAAATGAGCTACGCTGAGAAAAACAAACATTGCATCGCTTCACTCATGAGGCATCTAAAAATCTTTATCTCATAGACCTAGAAAGCACCCTAGTGCTTACCAGGGTTTGAGGGGAAGGTGGGCCCTGGGCAGGGAATCAAAATGGGTACAAAGTTCCACATTTTTTGAGAAGAATAAAACCTGCAGTTCTATTCCTCAGCAGGGTGACTAGGGATAATATTATCAGAGGGTAATTTTCAGGACAGCTAACAAGGAGGATTCTGAATGTCCTCCCCTCAAAGAAATAATTCTATGAGGCAAAAGAAATGCTAAGTATCCCGATTCCATCATGATACAATGCATGCATGGACCAAAATGTCCCACTCTACCCTCTAGTTGTGCATCTTTACTACAGAGCAAGTTTTTTTTTTTTTTTTTTTTTTTTTTTTTTTTTTGAGATGGAGTCTCACTCTGTCGCCCAGGCTGGAGTGCAGTGGAGTGATCTCTGCTCACTGCAAGCTCCGCCTCCGGGGTTCATACCATTCTCCTGCCTCAGTCTCCCGAGTAGCTGGGACTACAGGCGCCCACCACCACACCCGGCTAATTTTTTTTTTGCATTTTTAGTAGACGGGGTTTCACCGTGTTAGCCAGGATGGTCTCGATCTCCTGACTTCGTGATCCACCCACCTCGGCCTCCCAAAGTGCTGGGATTACAGGCGTGAGCCACCGTGCCTGGCCGAAAGTTTGTTTTTAAAGAAACAATGTGAAAATTCTCATGCAACCACAAAATGCCCTGAAATTCCAAAGCCAGGCTGAGAAATCCAAACTATGTCAGACGCGGCACATTCCCCACTTTCCAATTTCATCCCAAAGCTACAGACCCACTTCCACCTAGACAGAGCAGAGAACCCAGAAGTAACCCTGCACAACGACAATCATTTGGCTTTCAACAAAATCCACAAAAATAAGCAATGGATGAAGGACTCGCTATGCAATGAACGGTGCTAGGATGAGTGGCTGGCAGAAGGGTAACACTGGAGCCCTGCCTCTCGCCACATGCAAAACCTAACTCAAGGTGGATGAAAGATTTCAGAAGAAGACCTCAAACTGTGAAAGTCCTACAAGAAAATGGAGGAAATACCTTTCTCAACACAGGCTTTAGTAAACCATTTGTATGGCTTAGTCCCCAAAAGCAATGGCAAGAAAAACCAAAATGAACTAGTCGAGCCTAAGAAACGAAACATCTGCCGCACAGCAAAAGAAATCACCATCACGGTGAATACACAGGCTACAGGATCCATTAATTGTTCCCAAACTATTTCTGACCAAGGTCTTATAGCCAGACTCTACCATGACCTTCAATGAAAAAGCAGAAAAGCAAATAATCCAATTTAAAAAATGGGCAAAAAACGTAAATGCACACTTGTCAAGCCAGGACAGACAAGTGACTGACAGGCATGAAAAAAAATGCTCAACGTCACTAATCATCAGAGAAACGCAACTCACAAGCACAATGAGATACCTTCTGACGCCACTCAGAATGGCCCTTCGTCCACGTCAAAACATAAGATGCTGGTGAGGTAGCAGAGGACAGGGAAGGCTGCTACACTCTCAGTGTGAATGCAAACTAGCTCTCACAATGTGGGAAGTGGCCTGGAGATTACTCAGAGTACTTACAAAAGAACTACCCTCTGACCCAGCAATCCCACCACTGGGTATCTACCCAAAGGAAAACAAATGCTTCTAACAAAAGGACACACACACTCCTGTGTTTTCAGAACTGCTATTCACAAGAACTAAATGCTGAGATGGACCTATGTGCAAATCAACAGTGGATTATTATTATTAAAGTTTGGTACATAGACACCGCAAAATTCTACGTAGATTGAAAAAGAAATCATGCCCTCAGCAGCAACAAGGATGGACCTGGAGGCCACTATGCTAAGCAAGCTAAAACAAGGACAGAAAACCAAATACATCATGTTCTCACTTATAGCTGGAAGCTAAACGTTGAACACACCCAAACATAAAGATGAAAAAAAAAAACAAAACAAAACAGACACTAGGCCAACCAGACGGAAAAAGGAGGAAGACAGGGAGACCTGGCAGTAGAACCGCTCGACTGCTGCTGCCCTCACTGCCTGGGTAACGGGGTTCATTGGGAACCCAAGTTCAGCTCCCTGCTATACACCCACGTGCCCCACCTGCAAACCCCACCCTTTACTCACAATACAAGTAGGTGTCACTTTAGAAACCAAGGCTAGGAGCTGAAAATAAGTTCTTAGAAAAGGAAAAGAGGAAACCTACAGTGATCCAAACAATTCGTTACTGGCATAAACAGAGAAAGACACTGAATGGACAAAACTGGGGAGGCAAATAATCAACCTAGAATTTTACATAGTGAAAACATAGTTTGCAAAAGCTCACTGAAGGCATAACTGTTGAGAAAACTGGGTATTCATGTGCCAAAGATTGAAACAGTTCCCTTATGTTGTATAATACATAAAAATCAATGCGGCCGGGCGCGGTGGCTCACGCCTGTAATCCCAGCACTTTGGGAGGCCGAGGTGGGCAGATCATGAGGTCAGGAGATTGAGACCATGGTGAAACTCCGTGTGTACTAAAAATACAAAAAAAAAAAAAAAATTAGCCAGGCCTGGTGGCGGGCGCCTGTACTCCCAGCTATTCGGGAGGCTGAGGCAGGAGAATGGCGTGAACCCGGGAGGCGGAGCTTGCAGTGAGCCAAGATGGCGCCACTGCACTCCAGCCTGGGTGACAGAGTGAGACTCTGTCTCAAAAAAAAAAAAAATCAATGCAAAACCAATTTAACACCCAAATTCAATCCTGAAACCAAAAAACTCCAAGGGGAAAACACAAGATCAGCGTTTCTTTGTGGGAAAACTTGAATCTGTGTACCCATAGACAATACCACGGCTTCACCATCCCCCTTCTCTCCCTCTCAACGGGACACAGAAATCACTGCTAACAAAAGCAAATATCAGCATTTGAGACTAAGAAACACTTTAGACCTCTCTACATGGGAGAGAAAACAACGAACCCAAAGAGAAGGTATCCTACCTTGGGGGAAAAGATGATTGGGGGAAAATTATGGAAAATCATAAATTTCAAACCTATTCAAGAAACTAAAACTACTAAGTGGGGGGAAAGGATAAAAACAAATACACAAGCGACAAACGTGCAAAGGACGTGCGATAGCCACTTCTGCAAAGAAAACATGAAATTGACTCACAGCTAAAAGAAGAGTGGCACCCCATCACTCTCACGCCAGACATACACTAAGATACTGTCAAACTCCACTGAGAATGAGCATTACTCAAAGGAGCAATAGAAGTTTTGGAAGGCAGGGGCCTATGTAGATTCATGCAAAGGGAAACTCGTATACGCTATTGGTGGCACTGAAAATTAGTGTATATACTGTGAAAAAAAGTTGGAGCTTCCTCAAAAAATTAAAACCACTTCCAGTTCATCTAGTCATTCCCACACTCGGTTTTTCATTTACAGCAAAGGAAACCTGTCCCTTAAGGAGTTACCTGCCTTCCTGTGTTTAATGAAGCACAATTCACGATACCCAAGATAGGGAATCAATCTACCTGACCATCCACAGGTGAAGGGATGAGGAAACTGTGGGATATCCGCACAACACAATACTCCTCGGCCACATGCAAATCATGTCCTTCTCATTTGGAACAACATGGATGAACCTGGAAAATATTATGTTAAGTAAAATAAGCCAGGCATAGAAAGACAAGCACAGCATCATCTCACTTATATGGAATCCAAAATCTTTACCTTCAAGAAGTAGAAGTACAGTGGTGGTTTGCTGAGCAGGGGGAATGAGGGGGATGTGAAAGATTCATTTTGGAAACATAGTTGCAGTTAGATGACAGAAACACATTCTGGTGTTCTATACCACAGCTGGGTGACTGGTTAACAAAATATTGTGTGGTATTTTTCAAAAAAGCTAGAAGGGAACGATTTGTTCTCTCAACAGAGAAATAATACCTGATCTTTGGAAACAGATATGCTAAGTACCTTGGTTTGATCATTACTCAAAATACACATATATTAACATATCTCAGAGGAACAAAATGTCTCAGCATGCCCTCTAATAATGTACTTTACTATACACAGAACATTTAAGAAATCTGAATACATAATGCTAATATTCACATGAAACCACAAACGGCCCTGAATACCTGAGGTGCCCTGAGAAATACAAACTAAGTTGGAGGGCTTACAATCCTTGATATCGAGTTACATCCCAAAGCTGTAGGTATCCAAAATACGTGTTTGTGTGAGGTGCCACTGGGCTCCAGCCTGGGTGGCAGAGTGATACTCTGTCTCAAAAACAAAACTGTTTGAAAATTTGAGTGCATTATGAGTGACAACTGGATGTTATCAAACATGTATAAAGAAAACAAAATTCTAAGCCTAAAAATACATATCTAAACTAATACTGGGCAAAAAAATCTGAATAGACATCTCAGCAAAGATGACATGAAACTGGCCAACAGGTGAGAGAAAAGGTCCTCAGCATCGCTATTCATCAGGAAAAATGTACTTCAAAACCATTCAGATGCCATTTCACTCTTACTGAAATGAATGTTACTAAAAAGATTTAAAACATATTTTTTTGAGACAGGGACTTACTCTGTCCCCAAGGCTGGAGTGCAGCGGCAAGATCTCCGCTCACTTGAAGCCTTGATGTCCCAGGCTCAAGTGATCCTCCCACCTGAGCCTCTGAAGTAGCTGGGACTACCGGCATGCACCACCACGCCT
Organism: Homo sapiens; assembly: GCF_000001405.40. Classification (NCBI taxonomy): domain Eukaryota; kingdom Metazoa; phylum Chordata; class Mammalia; order Primates; family Hominidae; genus Homo; species Homo sapiens. Next base: position 178,816,087 of record NC_000005.10, read on the forward strand.
GGCTAGTGTTGTATTTTTTTGTAGACATGGGGTTTTGCCATGTTGCCTAGGCTACTCTCAAATTCCTGGACTTCAGTGATCTGTCTACCTCAGCATCCCAAGGTACTGGGGTAACAGGCGTGATCCACTGTGCCTGGCCATAAAAAAAAAATTTAAAAAGAAGAATGCTGGTATAGATATAGAGAAAAGGGAACTCTTACACACTGTTTGTGGGAAAATAAATTAGTATATAAACTATGCTAAAGAGTTGGAGGTCCCTCAAAAAACTGAAAACACAACTAGTAGGAGGCCAGTGTGGTCATATCGCTTGAGCTCAGGAGTTTGAGACCAGCCTTGGCAACGTGGCAAAATCCCATCTCTTACAAAAAAAAATTAGCCAGGCATGGTGGGATACGCCTGTAGTCCCAGTTACTCAAGAAGCTGAGGTGAGAACATCACTTGATCCTGGGAGGTCGAGGCTGCAGTGTGCCATTTCACTCTTACTAGAATGAATGTTGCTCCAGCCTAGGCAACACAGCAAGACTCTGTCTCAAAAAAAAGAAAGAAAATGTAACTACCATATGATCAGCAATCCCCCTACTGGGTAGACCTCCATAGCAAATGGAATGAGCATCAGGGATCAGAAAGACACAATGGGGATAAGAGATGTTCTTCATTAAATGGTTTTGAGAAAACCAACATCCCTATTGCAAAAGAATGAAATACAACCCTCTGTTACACAATGCAAAAAATCAACTCAAAGTGGACCTAAATACAAGACCTGAAACCATGAAAATAATAAAATTCCTGTATGCAAAAATAGGGGAGGTTACTTTCAGAGCAACTTGAATCCATGTCCACAGGTTGGAAAGAGTTTTAAAAAAGAAAAGAAAATGAAGGCAGGGAGCAGTGGCTCACGCCTGTAATCCCAGCACTTTGGGAGGCCAAGGGAGGTGGATCACCTGAGGTTGGGAGTTTGAGACCATCCTGGTCCACATGGAGAAACCCCGTCTCTCCTAAAAATACAAAATTAGCCCCGCATGGTGGCGCCTGCCTGTAATCCCACCTACTAGGAAGGCTGAGGCAGGAGAATCGTTTGAACCTGGGAAGCGGAGGTTGCGGTGAGCCGAGATCGTGCCATTGCACTCCAGCCTGGGCAACAAGAGCAAAAACCCTGTCTCAAAAAACAAAAAAAAAGAAAAGAAAATGAAAAAAGGAACACGTAGGGGTAAAATTTCACTGAGAATGGAAATTATATGTGAATTTTTTTTTTTTTACTTAGGCACTAAAATCACAAGCAACAAAAGCAGAAACAGATATGCAAGAGGCTACAGCAGACTGAAAAGCTGCCGCACGGCAAAGGAAATGACGAACTCAATGAGAAAGGTTGAAAGAGGGTTTGGGGGACTCACGACGTATCTGCTAAGGGCTTGTTATGGAAAATACAGAACAGAACATATACACAGTACTCAGTAGCAACAACAACGAGAAAAAAGAACAAATGATCCACCGCAACTTGGGCAGGGACCCTGAAATGTATTTCTGCAAAGACAACATTAAACTGCAGTGAAGCTCCCTACCCCATCAGGTGGCCATGACAGGACGTACAGGAGGGCACACTTGCTGCCGGCGGGTGGAGAAAAGCGGCCCCTGTGTCCTGGCAGCTGGAACGCACATTTTCATACCTACGGAAACCTGGAGGCAGCTAGATCTCTTTTCCTCTTTCTGAGGCTTGGACACCTGCAGCCAAACCTGGACCTGGCCCCTTCCCTCAACCTGGGCTGGGTTTCCCCTTATTCCAGCAGCTGCAGCTTCCCTCTGTATCTACATGGGGGAGTTTCCCTGAGAAAAAATCCCGAACCCCTAAAAATACCACAGCCTGCTATGTTGCCACCCTCAAAAGCCCCTGGTGGGGAAACGAAAAACACTGAAAAACAAAGACTAAAATACTACCAGAGAAAGAGCAAAACGACTGAGAACCTGACAAGAAGAAACAGAACATAGAAGAAAATGTTCTTCTATACTCACCTTGAAGGAAAAATGCTGGAGCAGTCGCGCTGTGGAGAAGCCCGCACAGAAGGAAGCTCCCTCCTCAGCAGTCAGCACCAGGGACGGGAGCTGTTTCTTCCCCAGGACAGGGGCCCAGGTCATCTGGAAGCTGCCAGCGGCACCCAGTGGGGTCCTGAGGGAACGGAGCTCTTCTCTTGTCCTCACTGTGGATGCCATGCCACGCCACACATGCCACACCGCCTCCATGGCGGGGGTGGGGAGAGAGGAGAACACACATGCGCACCATGTGCGGGCAGAAAAGGTGGTTTGGCCCTGCCTGCTGCTCACAGTGCGCGTGGCACGCAGGCTGATCCCATCTCCAGTATGCATCAGCCCAGGCCATGGCTCCAAGGCTCTGGAACTCCTGCACCTGCTCAGCCTGGGCTGCCACAGCTGCCTCTGCTTTTCTGCAACCGCCAATGCTTCCAGTCTTCTTGGAACTCTACTGCTGACAATTTGGGAAGACACAAACAGTCTACAGCAAGGGGATCCAGAATGGGTGGAGGAGTAGGTTTCTCACAAAGTTGAAACTTCAACTACCAGTCCATCTAGCCACCTTTTTTTCTTATAAATTTGTTTAAGTTCAGTTCCTTATAGATGACGGATATCAGACCTTTGTTGGATGCAAAGTTTGCAAAAATATTCTCCTATTCTATAGGTTGCCTCTTTACTGTGCTGATAGTTTCTTCTGCTACGCAGAAGCTCTTCAGTTTAATTAGATCCCATTCGTCAAATTTGGCTTTTGTTGCCGTTGCTTTTGGTGTCTTTCTCATGAAATCTTCGTCCATGCCTATGTCCTGAATGGTATTGCCTATGCTGTTGTCAGGGGTTTTTATGGTTTTGGGTTTTACATTTAAATCTGGATAAAGACTATGTGGTAATATACACTATGGAATACAATGCAGCCATAAAATACAATGAGATCATGTCCTTTGCAGGGACATGATGGAGCTGGAGACCCTTATCCTTAGCAAACTAACACAGAAAGAGAAAAACAAATATGGGATATTCCCACTTATAAATGAGAGTCAAATGATGAGAACACATGAACACACAGAGGAGAAAAACACACCCTGGGGCCTATTAGAGGACGGAGGGTGGGAGGAGGGAGAGCATCTGGAAAAACAACTAACGAGTACTAGACAGATTACACAGTCGGAATCGGCTTTACCACTTACTCTCAAGAAGCACTCAGCCTCTTTAGGCCTCAGTGTTCTTATCTTCAAAATGGGAATTATACTGATATCTTTCTATGGCAGAGACTGCTGTTCTGCCCTAGTTGCCAGTCTCACTTCCAAAGTGACAGAACCCCATTTTTGGACTAGGCATATGGCTCCCCAGGATGGAGATTGCATATCCTAGCCCCTCTGTTAGTTAGATATGGCCCTGTCTGTACCCTCCAACTGATGATTTGCGAGCAAAGCATCACTTAGCAGCTCCCAAGAGCCTTAAGAGGCATATTGATCATGCTCTTTTTTCTTCTTGACTTTCTCTTTCTCCATCCTCTCTGGAAGCTGATGCTATAATCTTGGACCACTAAGATCAAGGCTCAGAATACAATAGCTACAAAATAAAATATAGTCCCTGAAGTGGAGGCTACAAGTCTCAGAACCTTAACTTGTGACATAGGATTAGCTGAAGTGGTCAGGTAGTAGGTAGGAATATGCAGATATTGCAGGCTAATGAAAAAGAACAAGATCACGTCCTTTGCAGGGACATGGATGCAGCTGGAGACCATTATCCTTAGCAAACTAATGCAGAACAGAAAACCAAATACCACATAATCTCACTTATAAGTAGGAGATAAATAGTAAGAACACATGGACACAGAGAGGGAAACAACACACATCTCCCCGCTGGAGATGTTTCCCAACTTCTTTGTATTATTTACTGTGCTCCTCACATTTAGTTTATTATTTTATATCTGATTTCATTTTTTGAGGGTCTCACTCTGTTGCCCAGGCTGGAGTACAGTGGCATGATCACACTCACTGCAGCCTCAAGCTCCTAAGCTCAAGTGATCTATCTGCCTCAGCCTCCTGAGTAGCTGAAAATGCAGGCATGTACCACCACACTGGGTGCATATATATATATATATTTTGGTAGAGATGGGTCTGTGTTGCTCAGGCAGGCCTTGAACTCCTGGGCTCAAGCCATCCTCCAGCCTCACTCCCCAGTGTGTTGGGAGGCACCGTGCCCAGCCTGTTAGGGTTTTTATCATGAGGGGATGTTGCATTTTATCAAAAGGTTTTCTGCATCTATATATATGATCATATGGTTTTCCGTTCCTGAAGTGAATCACATTTGTTACTGCAAATGTTGAACCAACCTTGCATCCCCAGAATAAAGCCTACTTGATCACGGTGAATTAACATTTTCATGTGCTGCTGGATTTAGCTTGCTAGCATTTTGTTGAAGATATTTGCTTCATCACAAATACTGGTCTGAGGTTTTCTTTGGTTGTCACGTTGTCATGTCCCTGCCAGATTTTAGTATTAGGCTGATGCTGGCTTCAGAGAATGAATTATGGAAGAGCCTCTCTTCTTTGGTTATTTAAAATAGTTTCAGTAGAGGCCGGGCGCGGTGGCTCACGCCTGTAATCCCAGCACTTTGGGAGGCCGAGGCGGGTGGATCACAAGGTCAGGAGATCGAGACCATCTCGGCTAACACAGTGAAACCCCGTCTCTACTAAAAATACGAAAAAAAATTAGCCGGGCGTGGTGGCGGGCGCCTGTAGTCCCAGCTACTCAGGAGGCTGAGGCAGGAGAATGGTGTGAACCCAGGAGGTAGAGCTTGCAGTGAACCGAGATCGCACCACTGCACTCCAGCCTGGGCGACAGAGCAAGACTCTGTCTCAAAAAAAAAAAAAAAAAAAATTTCAATAGGATTGTTGCCAATTCATCTTTATGCATCTGGTAGAATTTGGCTGTGAATCCATCTGGTGCAGGGCCTTTTCTTTGAGGTTTTATATTACTGATTCAATCTGAGCTCAATATTGTTCTGTTCAAGGTTTCAAGCTTTTCCTGATTCAATCGCGGGAGATTGTGTGTTTCCCGAATATATCCGTTTCCTCTAGATTTTCTAACTTGTGCACACGTCCAGAGCATGTTCATAGTATTCTCTGAGGGTTCTTTGTATTTCTGTGGGATCAGCTGTAATGCCATCTTTGTCATTTCCAATTATATTTATTTGGATCTTCTCTTTTTTTTCCTTTATCTAGCTAGCAGTCTATCAATCTTGTTTAACTATTTCACAGAAGCTACTCTTGATTTTATTCATCTTTTGTATAGATTTTTGCATCTCAATTTCATTAAGTTCTCCAATTTAAGTTACTTGCTTCTGCAAGCTTTGAGGTTGGTTGGTTTTCTAGTTCCTTTATGTACCAAATTAATTAACTTGAGGTCTGACTTTTTGATGAATGCGTTTAGTGATATACACTTTCTTCTTGACACTGTTTTAGCTGCATCCCAGGAATCTTGGGTAAGCTATGTCCCTATTTTCATAAATTTGAAAGATTTTTTAAATTTTCATAAATTCGAAAGATTTTTTAAATTTCTGCCTTTTTTTGTTTTTTAAGACGGGATCTTGCTCTTGTCTCCCAGGCTGGAGTACAATGGCACAATCTCGGCTTACTGCAACCTCCAACCTCCACCTCCTGGGTTCTAGCGATTCTCCTGCCTCAGCCTCCCAAGTAGCCTGGATTACAGGTACCTGCCACCATGCCCGGCTAATTTTTTGTATTTTTAGTAGAGACGGGATTTAGCCATGTTGGCCAGGCTGGTCTCAAACTCCTGACCTCGTGATCCGCCCGCCTTGGCCTCCCAAAGTGTTGGGATTACAGGTGTGAGCCACTGGGCCCGTCCAGGTTATTTTTTAAATTTATTGAGGCTTGCTTCATGACTGAGCATGCGATTGATCTTAGAGAGTCTTACCTGTGCAGATGAGAAAAAAGTATATTCTGTGGCTGTTGAGTGGAGTTTTCTGTAGAAAACTATTAGGTCTAACTGGTCAGGTGTTGAGTTTAAGTCCAGCTTCCTTGTTAATTTTCTGTGTTAATGATCTGTCTAACGCTGTCAGTGGGGAGTTGAAGTCTCCCACTAGTACTGTGTGGTTGTCTAAGTCATGTTGTAGGTCAAGAACTTGTGTTATGAATCTGGTTGTTCCAATGTTGGGTGAATATATATTTAAGGTAGTTAAGTCTTGTTGGATTGTACCCTTTATCATTATGTAAGCTGGGCGCGGTGGCTCACGCCTATAATCCCAGCATTTTGGGAGGCCGAGGCGGGCGGATCACAAGGTCAAGAGATCAAGACCATCCTGGCCAACATGGTGAAATCCCGTCTCTTTTAAAATTACAAAAATTAGCTGGGCATAGTGGCGCACGCCTGTAATCCCAGCTACTCGGGAGGCTGAGGCAGGAGAATCGCTTGAACCCGGGAGGCAGAGGTTGCAGTGAGCCGGGATTGTGCCACTGCACTCCAGCCTGGCGACAGAGCAAGACTCCATCTCAAAAAAATAAAAATATCGTTATGTAATGGCCTTCATTCTCCTACTTAATTTTTATTGCTTTAAAGTTTGTTTTATCTGATATAAGAATAGCAATGCCTGGGCTGGACACAGTGGCTCATGCTTGTAATCCCAGCACTTCGGAAGGCTGAAGCAAGTGGATTGTTTGAGCACAGGAGTTGGAGATCAGCCTGGGCAACGTGGCAAAACCCCATCTCTACCACAAAATACAAAAATTAGCCAAGTGTGATGGTGCATGCCTGTAGTCTCAGCTACTCAGGACACAAGGAGGCTGAGGTGGGAGGATCACTTGAGACTGGGAAGTTGAGTGCAGCGAGCCATAATCACACCACTGCACTCCAGCCTCGGTGACAGAGCCCGTCTCAAAAAAAAGAATAGTGACTTTTGCACAGTAGATATTTCTCCATCCCTTTACTTTGAGCCTGTGGATGTTGTTACACGTGAGATGAGTCTCTTGAAGATGGCTGGTCTAGCCACTGGATCAGAGATTTAAGTGTAAGACCTCAAACCATAAAAACTCTAGAATAAAACCTAGGAAATACCATTTGGGACATCAGCCTTGGGAAAAAATCTATGACGAGGTCATCAAAAGCAATTGCAACACCAACAAAAGTTGACAAGTGGGACCTAATTGAATGACAGAGCTTCTTCACAGCGAAAGACATTATTAACAGAGTAAATATACAACCTATGAAATGAGAGAAAATATTCCCCAACTATGCATCTGACAAAGGTCTAATATCCACATCTGTAAGGAACTTAAATCAACATGCAAAATATAAATAACCCTGTTAAAAAGTGGGCAAAAGATATAAATGGACACTTCTCAAAAGATACACAAGCAGACACACGTGAAAAAATGTTCAGCATCACTAATCATCAAACAAATACAAATCAAAATCACAATGAGACACCACCTTCCTCTTGCAAAAATGGCCATAATTAAAAAGTCAAAAAACGGCAGATGTTGGTATGAATGTGGTGAAAAGGAAACACTCTTACTCTCCTAGTGGGGAATGTAAGTGAGCATAACCACTGTGGAAAACAGTATGAAGAGTCCTTAAAGAAATAAAAGTAGAACTCCCATTCAGTCCAGCAGCCCCACTACTGGGTATCTACACAAAGGAACAGAAGTCATCCTGTGAAAAAGGCACATGCACATGCATGTTTGCACAATTCACAGCTGCAAAGGCATGGAACCAACTTAAGTGCCCATCAACCAACGAGCAGACAAAGAAAACGTGGTATATATACACCACGGAATACCACTCAGCCACAAAAAGGAACAAATGCCTTTTACAGCAACTTGGAGGGAGCTGGAGGCCATTATTCTAAGTGAAGTAATTTAGGATTGGGAATGAAAAACCAAGTATCATATGTTCTCACTTAAAAGTGAGAGCTGGCCGGGCGCAGTCGCTCACGCCTGTAATCCCAGCACTTTGGGAGGCCGAGGTGGGCGGATCACGAGGTCAGGAGATTGAGACCATCCTGGCTAACATGGTGAAACCCTGTCTCTACTAAAAATAAAAAATTAGCCAGGTGTGGTGGCAGGTGCCTGCAGTCCCAGCTACTCGGGAGGCTGAGACAGGGGAATGGTGTGAACCCAGGAGGCGGAGCTTGCAGTGAGCGGAGATCGCACCACTGCACGCCAGCCTGGAAGACAGAGCGAGACTCCATCTCAAAAAAAAAAAAAAAGTGAGGGCTAAGCTATGCGGATAAAAAGGCCTAAGAATGATATAATTGACTTTGGGGACTCGGAAAGGATGGGAGGGGGATGAGGGATAAAAAACTACATAATAGGTACAGTGTATACTGCTAAGGTGATGGGTCCAGTAGAATCTCAGAACACATCCATGTAACTGAAACCAGCTTACCCAAAAACTATTGAAATAAAAATAAAAATTAAAAAGTAATTACTCCTGGGGATCTGTTTAAAATGCACTGTTAATATTCCATGACCCATCTTTTAAATTTCCATTCAAAACCCTGCAAATACTCAGAAACAGATTTAAAATCTCAAACCATTGCCAAAATTACAACTTGATTTGTGCAGAGTTGAGAGGAATTTCCAAAAACATAAGTTCTTAGGGGTCACACATGATGGCTCAGGCCTATAATCCCAACCCTGGGTGGCTGAAGGCCAGAGGATTCCTTGAGGACAAGAGTTTGAAACCAGCCTCTGCCACACAGCAAGACCCTCTGTCTCATTAAAAAAAAAGACACAGGATGGGCGCGGTGGCTCACACCTGTAATCCCAGCACTTTGGGAGGCCGAGGCGGGAGGATCACTAGGTCAGGAGATCGAGACCATCCTGGCTAACACAGTGAAACCCCGTCTCTACTAAAAATACAAAAAAATTAGCCGGGTGTGGTGGTGGGTGCCTGTAGTCCCAGCTACTCGGGAGGCTGAGGCAGGAGAATGGTGTGAACCCAGGAGGCGGAGCTTGCAGTGAGCCTAGATCACACCACTGCACTCCAGCCTGGGCGACAGAGCGAGACTCCATCTCAAAAAAAAAAAAAAAAAAAGACGAACTCTTTTAGGAGTTTTCAAAGAGGGTTTTCTTACAGTTCGTCTAGTGGCTCACATGAATATTTCTGTTATTGGAGAGCATCCCATGAAGGACTGGCTTCCAGAATCCCTTCTCCTTCCCACTGAGCTGACCCACCTGTGATTCTGGCTCTCAGGATCTTTGTAGGACACAAGGCTCAGCCTTCTTCATCCTCCATCTCATCAGATTGTCCAACAGAGGCCAGGGAGTCCTCTCGGGTTCCTCCCCAGATATTACTCAGACTCTAGCAAGCAGCAGGGCCGCAAGATCCCAGCCACTTCTCTGGATCCATAGATGCCTCAACCAATGCAGGGATTCTACGCATTTCTGGGCTGCAGCCTGAGGACAGGGCTATTATTGTTGTAAAAGGCACAGCAGCTCAAAAGTTTACAGGATGCTCAAGACCCACGGGGAAGTGAGACGCTAACCTACTCTCTACTCTCCTGGCCTAGTGCAGTCACCCCTGGTGGTGACTCTGATCAAGTATAGCTCAGAGGGTGACTTCTCTTGTCCGATCTTCAACCAGCAACTGATTGTCCTCAGACAAATAGGTTTCACAATGCAGTATCACTGTCTTCAGTTTAACTTTTACATTAATTTACTTCTCACTTCTTCTCACTGGGTTCGTGTTTTTGCAGGCAGAAGTTTCTGGCTTGAAGACAAAAATCTTCAACTAGTTATAGAAAATCAAACAAATGCTTGGCTGCTTTTTAATTGGGCAGATGAAGTACTTTAATATTGATAAAATGGCTCTAATATTTAAGTAGCACGTTTACAACTCTAAAGATGAAAACTATCAATAACTCCACCAGTCTGACAACCAAGCAACAAGAATGCAACCCGTTTGTGGCTTCCTAGCCAACAAACACAGCCCCACTGAGGAAAGGGGGAATGAAAAGAAGAAAAAGCATTGCAGCATTTGCATTAGGCATTTTAATTGTCAAAATGTCACACACAACAATATTGAAAATCACGTCACTGGAAACGATTCAAAGCTGAATGCCACATTCATAATGGCAAGCAAGATGCGAAAAACTAGAAAAAAAATCCCTTCTTTTGCTCTGAATTACATAGGAATGGTGACCAATCTTATTTAAATTTACAAAATTTATCTACATTACTATGGATTTCTAATATGCTGCCTCCTTAGCTTTCCCTGCAAATATAACAAAGGAGAGAGTCATCCAGGATGATGGGGCAGCACAGAGTCGAGTGCAGGCCTGAGCACCATCTGCAACAATGACAAGCTCTTACTTGCTCAGGTCTTCATTCAAATGGTAAACCACACATTCCAATACTCAAACAGAACAGGGCTGTCCATATTCACATGTGGCTCCAGTTTCCTCATCCATAAGAAAAAAACCTTTCTGGCTCTAATAGCTTTTGATTTTTAGAAATAAAGTTTAGAAGGTCTGTTTCATCTAGAAACACTAATTACAAAAAAAAATACTATATTCTAGGGCATTTTAAAACTTTTTCTTTACAGGACCTAAATGTTAACAGTTAATCTTTAGAAAATAATATTTGAAATCCCCTACTACGTAGCTATTAAAACGTCTAAATTTTGCACCAACTTTTGTTAACCCTGGAGGCATTTACTCTTATATCCATGTTAGGAACATTTACTTGGATTAACAGAAATGTGTTGAGTGCCCTTTAAACATTTCCACACAATATGTCATTATAATCTTGTGAAATAGTCTGTATTTTCTTCTAAAGAATCTTTTCAGTCAAATGTTTAATCCATTTAGGAATTTGTGTTGAACTAAAGTAATTCAGTCAAAACTACCAATTAACTAGCTGCAAGCAAATACTACTAAAGTGTGTTTCTGATAATTCACCTCTTAATGATTGGTAAATAAGGAGATGAAAAGCAAAATGGGGATTCTGAGCAATAAAATGTTACCATTGTTCCTTCCACTTTGCCTACCCAACAGAGCAAGATTAATGTTTTATCATTTATTTATCTGAGCCAATCGCTTGTCATTAAACTTCACTAGATCAATGTTAATGCCTTAGTAAATCAGTTGCACTACTGGAGTGTCCTTGAGTATCTAGTTGCACTTGTATATATTTCTCTTTTGTATACACATTCTCATATAAACGCTAGTATAATGCAAAACATCCCAGATCTACCAGAGTAAGTCGATAATTCAAAGGCACAGTAAATTCCAAGAAATGGCAGCACATATACATGTTGGCTTATTCCAATGTCTGCCATCAATGCAAAAAATGTGACCTGTCTGTACTTGACACAAGGGATCTCTAGTCCTGGCTCATACCATTGCATGAGAACAGGTTATTACATTTTCAGGAACTTCTGAGAGTTTATTCTTAATAAAGTCATCATTAAAATGCATTCTATAAACTTCCAACTAAATTATATTAAAACAATAATACTTAAGACTCCTCATATTCTAATTATTTCAGTATATTTTATTATCTATGTTCATGGTGCATCTACTCAATCTGTATGGTAGAATTATCCTAGGATGGTGTGCTAGCATCCATCTCGTCCCAACTCATCAGTGACATCAGCTTGGTAGCTTGAATCTGGCCATGATATCCTTACCTACAACACAGAAATGTGCAAATACTACAAGCCAAGTTTTGTGTTTTTCAGTGAGTCAGTTGTTAAGCATTTACCAGCACACCACTGGATTTGGACAACCCGGGCACGATCCCTGCTCTCTTGTAGTCACCAAAAATGCAAGATGCTATGGGACTAGTTAGCAAGACTATGGGATCAGGAAAGAACTACCGGAGAATATGTTACTTAAGTAGAGTCCCAGTGAATGAGTCAAGGTTAAACAGGTGGGCAATGAGGATAAAGAAGTTGTTTTACCAAGCAAGGGGAAAACAGACTGCAGGATGGAGCCTCATCCCAGAGATTCAAAGCCCAGGGTGCTAGTGACGGAGTACAAAGAGATAAGGCTGAAAAGATGCAAGACAAATCTTACATATTTTAAGAAAAGGCACTCAGCCGGGCACGGTGGCTCACGCCTGTAATCCCAGGACTTTGGGAGGTCAAGGCGGGTGGATCACGAGGTCAGGAGATTGAGACCATCCTGGCTAACACGGTGAAACCCCATCTCTGCTAAAAACACAAAAAATTAGCCAGGCATGGTGGCGGGTGCCTGTAGTCCAGCTACGGGAGGCTGAGGCAAGAGAATGGCATGAACCTGGGAGGTGGAGCTTGCAGTGAGCCGAGATCGCGCCACTGCACTCCAGCCTGAGCAACAGAGTGAGACTCTGTCTCAAAAAAAAAAAAAAAAGACAAGACACTCGTATTCATGACTGTATTAAAAACACTGGGAAGCTACTGAAGATTTTTAATCATGGGGTTAGAAGGAAGAGAGATGAGAACTCTCTTGACACTTGACTGAACTGGAAAAGGAACCAAAAGATTGTCCAAGAAAAGACAGACAAAAATGACCACCAGGCTTCCCTGGCAACGTAGCTAGAAGCAAAATCTTTCTGAGCATGCAGCCGTATTGTATTTTTATTTAATGATCGCTTAAATGCTCGACTCCACTAATATAAACATTATTAAGCATATACAAAAGAATAGGGAATTTTAAAAAGTGAGATAAAATACAGTTATGTAAAGTTCTGATCTCTATTTCCACACTTCCATGGTTCTGCAGCCAACTTCACAGGCCACTGCTGAAGCCAGCTTTGGAAGATGAAACATAGGATGCACAGGCAATGGGACTTGGTGAGGACTGCATGGAGCTGGGGCCAGATGCCACTGTCAGGGAAGATCTAGCTCATGCCAAGAAATCCAAACTAGCATAAACCTCTTCAAAACCTGGCACCATGGCTGTAACCAAACTCCCCCCAGCTTGCCTACTGACTGCATCACAACAGTGGGGCAGTATTTCCTGGTACTCAGTTTCACCCGAGGCAAACAGAAAATGTTAAACAGGAAATGCTAATGTGTGTGTGTGCGCCTGCCTGTATGGGTGTGCGTGTACATGTGAGTGTGTATGTGCACACACGAGTGTGCATGTGAGTACATGTCTATGTGTGCATGTGAATGTATGTGTATCTTGAGTATATGAGCATGTTAGTATCTGTGTGCACATAAGTGTACATGTGTATGTATATAAGTGTGTGCGTGTGTGTTTGCACTCACTAGTCTGGGGGCTGGTTTGTGAGAGTGGGGCGAGGAGCTGCTGGTGTCACACAAGGCTTGCGATAACAGAAAACATTTTTTCTTCCCAGTAAAAACAAATCCCAGCCTTCTAGCGGTGACTCGCACCCTCTCAATCTCACTCTCCACCTGCTCCTTGTTCCCCCATCTGCCCCTCCTCTCTCCTTCAGAATGTTTTCTGCAGTGCTTTTTCTCATCTTAGCTTGCTCTCTCCTTCGTTCAGCCTTCTAATCATCTTGTCCATTCTTCCTGTTTCTCACTCCTGTTTCTGTCCCGTCATCACTCTCCTGGGAATTTTTGCTAAACGGCAGAGGAAGGCTGAGAGTGTTTAACACAGAAATTCTTTATTTCTCCTGCACGTCCTCATTACAGAAGCATCTACAATAATGTCCACTTGCACACACAGCTCCTGACCCTCCACGGGGGGCTGGTATTGCGGATGGGGTGTGGAGGCAGCAGAGGAACATTGGGAAACGTCTATGGATCCAGGCTCAGCTCAGAGGCTGAGTTCAAAACTTGGCACCATGGCTGTGACCACATTTCCCCTAGTCTGCCTACTGACGGCATCACAATGGTGGAACAGTGTCTTCTGGCCCTCGTTTCACCAGGGGCAAACAGAAAACGTTAAAAAGGAAATGTTAATGTGTGTGAGTGTGTGTGTGCCTGTATCGGTGTGCAAGTACTTGTATGCATATGCACACACAAGTGTGCAATGTGTGTACACATGTGAATGTCTATCTTGAGTATATGAGCATGTATTTATATGTGCACATGAACATGTGTGCACATGAATGTAATGTGTGTGTATATGTGTGTGTGCATGTGTGTTTGGACTCACCAGTCTGGGTGCTGTGGTTTGTGAGAGTGGAGCAAGGAGGAGCTGCTGGTGTCACACAAGGCTTGTGATAACAAAGAACCTATTTTCTTCTCAGTAAAAACAAATCCCAGCCTTCCAGAGGTGACTCGCACCCTCTCAATCTCTCTCTCCACCAGCTCCAAAGTAAGAGGCTGATTATTTTGAAAATATAACACAGTGACGAGTAGCTTTTAACTCGGTTTTGGTTTGTTAAGGCCATTCCTTGGGATAAAGGAAACAAGAGGAGGAGGTTGAGAAACAAGCATAAAAACAAGAAATATAAGCAGCAGTATAAGAAAATGAAGAACACGATGATGATGATGATAAGATTAGACTGAAAGAAAGGTAAAAGACCAGGTGCAAGAATTAGAAGGCCTGTTATGATACCTTTTTTCCCCTCCCCGATTCATGAAATTAAAAAAATCGAAGACTATCAGAACAAAAAACAAGAAAAAAGTAACAAAATTTAGGGGTTGACTATTTGTGTAAGAATGAGGCAATGCTGCCACTCACAGCTGGCTCAGATGCCAGCAGGAGGAGGGCACCCTCCAGAGACTGCAGGAGAAAAGAGAGGACTCCTCCTTGCCCTGGCTACGCCTCCGTCTGTCACCGAGGGCTGCGGTACAGAACCGGCAGCTTCCTACCCATGCCAGGCCAGGCTAGGCCCCAAAGTGCTCCTACTCCCCCTTCCCAGGCCCCAGATTTGCTGCTGCTGCCACCATTAGCACCGACGCCAACGCAACCAGCAGTGCTGTCACCTTCCATCCACCGGCCCACCCTACAAGGCTCCTACCACCTGGCCAACACGGGCGCCCTCCTACCACTCCTGCCGAGCTGCAGTCTCCATTGCTGTCGCCACAACCGCAGGAGGCGAGCCACAGAGCTGTGCCATCTGCAAACTCCAGGCTCCAGCTCACCATAGGTAACTCCTCCTTCACCTCCTCCTCCAGCCTGGCTTGGAGCACCTGGGTGGGCAAAGCCAAAAAACCCCAAAACAGGATGCAGAAAGTGGCAGCGTTAGAGCCGCACCTAGTCATGCTGGCCACTGGGTGGCAAGGGCTGGTTTCAGCGAAGGCACTCACACCCACCCTCTGAAGTCCAACCTCTCCTCCTGGCCCAAGCTGGCCTCCTGACCTGGGATGGGGACTGGAGACACCACAGTGCCCGGCGCTCCTTGGGGAGTAGGAACAGCAGAAACTCCGACCCAGCCAGTCCTCCCCACCCAAGTACCGGTTCTCACTCCTGACTCCACCACCCACAGGGCCCTGAGCCCCTGTGGTGCCCACTATTCCATGCCCAGGGGTCCCAGATGGTCTCCGCAACACGAACAAAAGGGCGAGGGCTGGGGAACCACAGTGGGTGTGGGGACCCTGCTGTGCTCAGAGAATTGCTGCGAAAACTCTGTGCGCCTGCCACGCTCCAACACGAGCAGGAGAATTTCACCCTCTACAGCCTTGACTCTAGGAAGAGAAGGGCCCCTTCCTCGGAGGCCACTGCTGTACCGGCCACCTCCACAACCCACTGCCGGCAGCAGCAGTGCAGCGCCTCCAATACCGCCCCAACCTGGCCCCTAGTGCCAGCAGCGTAGCCCTCAGACTGCACCCATGACATACCCAGAGCCAGCTGTTGGCAATGTAACCCTGATAGCACCCCCAAACCACCCCTCTGCCGCTGGCAGCGCTGGCAGTGTAGCACCCGATAGTGTCCACAACCCATCCCTGCCACAGGCATTGCAGCACCCAATAGCGCCCCCAACCTGCTCTTTCCCCTCTTCCCCCACCCCCGGGCAGCACAGCCCCAGATAGTGCCCCCAACCTGCTCCCATCACAGGCAGTGAACGCCCGGGATAGTGCACCCAATCAACCACCCCCCCACCTCCCCCCCCTCCCCCAGCAGTGCAGCACCTGACAGCTCCCCTAAACAGCCCCCAACTGTTGGCTGGCATTGTTGCTGGGATTGTAACCTGGGATAGCTTACCCAACCGGCCCTCTGCCTTGGGCAGTGCAGCAGCTGATAGCTCCCCTAACCCACCCTCCCCGCCGCCGGCAGTGCACAATAGCTCACACAACCTGCCTCCAACCCCCCCCTCACCCCACCTTGGGCAGTGCAGGCCCAGATAGCGCAGCCAACCCCTCCCACCACCCACCGCCAGCACCGCAAAGCTGGATAGCACTCCACCACCAGTCCCCCACGGCAGGCAGTGCAGACCCAACAGCACACCAAATCTGCCTCCCCAGGCAGGCAGTGCAGCCACAGACAGCGAACCTACCCCACCACCTTTCTACCACTGTAACTGAGCTTCAGTCTCCCATCACCACCACCAACCGCAGCCAGGCAGGCCTCAGTGGCAAACGCTCCAGCCTCCAGCATGCACAAGTGGTCCCCGCTTCTCGTCCTCTAGCCGGTCAGGAGCAGCTCTTCCTGCCGGCCATCCTTCTACCGCTCCGGCCGCCCTCCTACACTCTGCCGCACACTGCATTCTCCCTCACCACCACCAACTGCAGGGAGGCGAGCCGCGGTGCTGCAAGGCTCCAGCCTCCGGCGTGCAGCACGTGGCTGAGCTCCCCTTCTCCAGGTCCTCCAAGCGGGAAACAAAGTAGCTCTGCTAACTGATACACAACAGCCTAAAATGACGGGAGGCCTCCTCAGCATGCACATGGGCTTATGAGAATGGTTTCTAGACTACATATTCTGATTGGATGAGAGAAAACCTCTGGGCCTTCTCTGATTGGACTTTATTTTCACACTCTGATTGGTTGTCCTGAGACTTGCTCTCATCCAATCAGAACATGATAATAAAGTCCAATCAGAGTAGGCCTCTGGTTTTTCTCATATCCAATCAGAACATGTAGTCCAGGAACCTCATATGCATAACCTCTGTGTATAAATAGTGCTGAAGGGGAGTCAGGCCATTCCAGGCTGTGTCTGCTCAGCGAGCTTCTCTGTGCCCAGCTTAGAGGACCAGGACCAGGGATAGCCACCACCGCATGCTTGAGGCTTATAGCTTTTGGCACCGCGGCTCGCTTCGCTGTGGTTGATGGCGGCAGAGACTGCAGTGAAGCTGGAGCGGTAGGAAGGGGAAAATAGTTTTGGGATAGATGGAGGGGTACAGAGAGTGCTTAGTGCCAAAGGGAAAAGAGGATGGCGAGCAGGAGAAGGCATTGCAAAAAGACGGTCAGGAAAAATGGTGGGAAAAACAATTGGGGGGGGGGTACGTGGAGGGGGAAAAACGGGTGGTGAACAAGAGGGAGAGAAGGTTTTGCAGAAAGACAGTGGGGAAAACGTTTTTGGGTAGATGGAAAAAGAGTGATGAGAGAGTAATGGGGGGTGAGCGGGAGGGAGAGAAGGTTTGCAAAAAATACGGTTTTTCTCAAATGCTTTATTTCTGTTGAGATGCTCATATATTTGTTTTTTATTCTATTAATGAGGTGTTTGCATCCATTGATTTTTCAAATATTAATGGTGCATTCCTGGGGTAAAACACATTTGCATGTAGTGCATTATCTATATGTTGCTGGAGTTCATTTGGCAGTGTTTTGTTGAATATGTTTGATTTTATAAAACAATGAAAGATACTGGTCTACATTGTTTTGTGATATTGTTTTGGTGTCAGAGTAATCCTGGCTTTATAAAATGAATTGGGAGGTGTTCTCTCCCCTTTTATTTTCTGCAACAGTTGGTGAACAATTGATATTAATTTCTCAGAGTGTTTGATAGAATTCACCTGGGAAGCTCCCTGAGATAGGATTTTTATTGTAAGTTTTTAAAATTACTATCTGATCTTTTAACCTTCTGTAGATCTATTTATATTTTCTATTTCTCTTTTACTCTATTTTAGTTTGTCTCTTTCTAGGACTTCATCCATTCTATCTAGGCTATCTTAATTTTTTTGGCATAAGATTTTCATTGCATTCTCTTTTAATCATTTTTGTTTTGTAATACTGGCAGTGATGGTGTTCTTTTTTATTGATGATTTTAGTAATTTGATTCTCTTCTTTTTTTTTCTTGTTTAGCCTAAATAAACATTTGCCAATTTTGTTATCTTTCCAAACATTTAATTTTGGTTTATTGATGTTCTTTGTTGTTTCATATTCCCTATCTTTCTGTTGGCTTAACTCTTGTGAAATGTTTCTCTTTGTCTTTAGGAAGATTGTATTTGGTTAATAAAATTTAAGTTGATTTTGGAGTATCAACTTTTATGTGAAAGTAGAAGCATGAATTGGGAAATAATGGGTTCTCAAGTATTTTTTTGGTGGTGGCGGGGGTGGGTGGGGGAACAAAATGAGTATCCATGTAGTCCTTGGTTCCCCAAATCATTGAGCTAACTTGGTCAAAATAAGTAGCCTCTCATTCCTTATCTCAAGAGGGTGGTCTTGCCTTGCTTGGAGACATTATAGTGAATTCACTTGATGTAGTTTCTTTTAATCATATCAATTTACTTCATGTCCCATTTTCTTTTCTTTTTTTTTTGAGACGGAGTCTCACTCTGTCGCCCAGGCTAGAGTGCAGTAGCGCTTGGCTCACTGCAATCTCTGCCTCCTGGGTTCAAGTGATTCTCCTGCCTCAGCCTCCCGAGTAGCTGGGATTACAGGCACCCGCCACCATGCCCGGCTAATTTTTGTATTTTTAGTAGAGACAGGATTTCACCATCTTGGCCAGGCTGGTCCTGAACTCCTGACATCATGATCCACCCGCCTCAGCCTCCCAAAGTGCTGGGATTACAGGCGTGACCCATGGCGCCCAGCCCATGTCCCATTTTCAACCAGTTATTGTACCTGGAATGATTGCTAGAATCACATTCCATCTCGCACAGGTAAATAAGTGAATTCTGTCATTTAATATCTAAATTATATATGTTTATTTACATATACATATATTTTACTTGTAATTCAATGAAGGTAAAGCTTTGTTATGCTCTGTGTAAAATATGCTGTCTATATTCTCATGATAGTAAAGAATAAATTGAGTAATTGAATGTATTTGAATTTTACATATATTCTCCATTGAGTAAGAGAAATAAAATCTTAGTACTTGATTTAGTAAATTCCTACATTAAATTCCTAATTTAAATTAAGATGTTTCTTAGCAGAAACAAAGTTTATCTTAACGGGATGATAATTCACTAGTTTACCTCTGACGAGCATCGGCTAGTATTTATTATGAAATTACGCAGCACCAAAATACAATAGAATACAATTATTTAAAACACAAAAAATATTTTATTGATTAATTCAGACATCAGATGTTTACATTATAAAATCAAATTATTTTGGGGGTTTTGTTTTTGTTTTTAGGATATTAGCAAATATTAACAAACGTGAACCATAGTAAAAGTTGTAACACTTGAACATTCCGTTTTCAAATAAACTAAATTTATGTGTCAGATTGAAAAGCTTTTAGATGAGCGATTTATTTTTCTGTCTGTGTCCAAATATTTGTATATCATGTAGACAGCCCAAGAAAATATGCAGATATGTAAGCCATTGAATAGAATGGTAAAGAACACATTCTTAAAAGAAAGAAGAGAATAAGCATCCGAACCATTTTGCATTCTCACTAGCAATGTAAAAGGATTTGTTTCTCCGCATATTTATCACTTGTTATTTTACATTTATTTTGATTGTATCCTAGTAGGTGTGAAATAGTACCTTGTTGTTGTTTGATTTGTATTTCCGTAATGACTAGTGATGCTGTATACTACATATATCTATGTACACATATACATATATATATATACTTATATTTATGCACATACACATATATAGCTTGTATACCTTGTTTGGAGAAATATCTATTCAAATTATTTGCCCATTTTTTAATTTGTTGTTTGCCTTTTAGTTTTTGAGTCATAAGTATTCTTTGTATATTCTGGATACTAGATTATCATCAGATACATGGCTTGACAAATATTTTTTCTCGTGCTTAGGTGGTTGTTTTAGTCTGTCTGGACTACTATAATAAAACCCATAGATTGGGTGGTTTATAAACAACAGGAATTTATTTCTCACAGTTCTAGAGGTTGGGAAGTCCAAGATCAAAGCACTTGCAGATTCAGTGTCTGGGGAGGGCCTGCTCCATCATAGATGGCTGTGTTTTCACTGTAACCTTGCATGGCAGAAGGGGCAAGGAAGCTCTTTGGGTCCTATTCTATAAGGGAACTAATCTCATTCGTAAGTGCAGAGCCATCATGACTTAATCTCCTTCCCAAAACACCACCTCTGAATACTATCACATTGGGGGTGAAGATTTCAGCAATTTTGGAGAAACATAACCCTTCAGACTGTAGTACTTGTCTTTTACCTTTCTTGATAATGTCCTTTGATGCAAAAAAGTTTTTAATTTTGATGAAGTCCAACTTATTTTTTCTTGTGTTACTCTTGCTTTGGATGTGGTATCTAAGAATACATTGCAAAATCCAAGGTCATGAAGATTTATATATACATACATATAAGTGTGTGTATGTATATGTATATACACACATATATATGTGCATGTGTGTGTATATATATATATTTTTTTTTCTTTTTTCTGAGAAGGAGTCTCTCTCTGTCACCCAGGCTGGAATGCGGTGGTGCAATCTCGGCACCACTCCCAAATAGCTAAGATTACGGATTACAGGCGTGCACCACCACACCTGGCTAATGTTTCCTTCCTCTTCTTATTCAGTAAAGACTGAGCTCACATCCTACTGCATACTTTACCACCTACAGAAGTTTGTTATAATTGCAAAAAGAAAAGATTAGTAATGACCATATATAGTAAAACAAACAGAAACTACAAAAACAGGACCAGGAAAAGATATGGAACATGTGGAAAGAATAGAACCAGTCAGGAGCAGTTTATATTTCTGACCGAACTGCATTTTACAGTGGCCAGTGAGAAGCAAGGCCGCCGGCTACCCAGGAAGCTGAGGCAGGAGAATCGCTTGAACCCGGGAGGTGGAGGTTGCAGTGAGCTGAGATCACGCCACTGAACTCCAGCCTGGGCGACAGAGTCAATTGCTGGGCCGGGCAAAGTGGCTCACACCTGTCGTCCCAGCACTCTGGGAGGTTGAGGTGGGCAGATCACTTGAGGTCAGAAGTTTGACACCAGCCTGGGCAACATGGTGAAACCCCATCTCTACTAAAAATACAAAAAGTTGGCTAGGCATGGTGGCTCATGCCTGTAATCCCAGCACTTTGGGAGGCCAAGGCAGGTGGATCACCTGAGGTCAGGAGTTCAAGACCAGCCTGGCAAACATGATGAAACCCCATCTCTACTAAAAATACAAAAATTAGCCCGGTGTGGTGGTGAGCACCTATAATCCCAGCTACTCAGGAGGCTAGGGAAGGAGAATCACTTGAACCTGGGAGGTGGAGGTTACAGTCAGCCGAGATCATGCCTTTGCACTCCAGCTGGGTGACAAAAGTGAAACTCTGTCTAAAAATATATATTAAACACACACACACACACACACACACATATATATGTATAAAGTTAGCTGGCCATGGTGGTGGGTGCCTGTAATCCCAGCTACTCGGGAGGCTGAGGCAGAAGAATCACTTGAATCACTCCAAACATGACATCCTGGAAAAGGCAAAACTAGGCAGCATAAAGAATTTTTAGGGTAGTGAAACATCCTGTATGACTGTAATCGTGGATACACGTCATCATGCATCTGTCAAAATCCATGAAACGTACAACCCAAGGAGTAAACCCTAACATAAAAGATGGACTTTGGTGAATGATAATGTACTGATATTGGCTCAGTAATTTGAATATGTACCATACTTAGAAAGATGTTCATAAAGAGAAAACCGTGAGGGGAAGGGTATGTGGAAACTGTACTTTCAGCTCAATTTTTCTATAAACTTAAAACTGTTCAAAAAAGGCATATTAATTTTTTTAATATCCTAATAGAGGATCAGAGGATGGGCAAACAAAGCCTGGGCAAAACATGGCAGAAAAAGCACAAAATACAACAAAAAAATAAATCTTTTTCCAGTAAGTTGTTGTTGTTGCTCTAAGTAACTGGTGCAGTGATTCTAGTCGGTGACTAGCGATTCCAGTCGGTGGCTAGCGATTCCAGCTGGTGGCTAGCGATTCCAGCTGGTGGCTAGCGATTCCAGCTGGTGGCTAGCGATTCCAGCTGGTGGCTAGCAATTCTAGTTGGTGACTGAGATTTACAGGTTGAAGGGGGGGATCAAGTAGAAGCTGGAGGATGGTCTGAAAGAGGGAGAGGGGCGTTGTTCAGGCAGAAGTGGGTTGGATCCTGACTCTACCACTCAGTATGCCACATGTCAAAGAGAAACAAAATCAGTCTCCAATTACAGGGGTAAGGGAAGATTTTCATCAGTACCAACTGTTGCACTGGGGAAGAATCCAGCCTGAGCTGGACTGAACTTGGATTTGTAGAGGTGACTTTGAGTTTCAAAGGGAGAATGAGGGAATAAGGAAGGGGTTGGGGGGCGCTCAGTAGAGTCAGGAAGGTGACAAATTGCAAAGGGTTGGTTGAGTGCTGTTGGCCCCAGTGCTGCTCCCGGTCTGGAAACTGTCATCCTCCCAGAGGGACGGGAGACAGAGGCCTTGTCCCAGGTGCCAGCCAGAACAAACTACATCCCTTTGGCAGCATCCAGTTTTCTCAGGCAGGCAACTAAGGGGCGCCCGCGTTATCTGAGGGGTGTGGCCTCCAGCGCTGGTAACTGTTAGTGTTTGCTGAAGTCTCCATAGGCCAAGGCTGGGTGGGGCCTGGTGGAGAACGGGGCTCAGAGGGGCCTGGCTGGAGTCCGGTCCAGGACGTTCTTTGTCAAGAGAGCGAGTTAACCGGGCCCTGGGAGCCTCCATTTTCCCTTGCATATCTGTGAGGAGCAAGAGATGACGTGATCCAGGAGCCTCCCGGCTCCACATCCCACAGACGCCCTTTCTGATAAAGGAGCCGGGCGGGCACCGCGACTGCGCCCACTGGAGGCCCTGAAGTAGCAAGGCTCCTGGAGCGCGTCCTGCGCTGGAGTCCTGGAGGATGCCACAGATCTGGAGGGGGTGGTGGGGTCCTGTCCCAGACTCGCCTTAAACGCTGCGAGGACAACGACCCCCCCAGCCCGCCTCCACCCTCCAGCCTGCCTCAGGCAGGAGGCGCAGTAGTCCCCTCTGCAAGCTGCAGATTCCCCACCCTGGCTCCAACTGACCATAGTTGAAATCGAGCTGGAGGCGACAACAACATCCTAGAAACCTGAGTCCCCGCCTCAGGGTATTGATGCCCTTTACTGATTGTAAAGCCAGTGTGGAACTCTGCAGCCTTGGCTCAGAAACGCAGCTGCTGAGTGTCCTGGAGCAGGTGCGACCAGAGGACATTGGCAGGGGAGCAGTGCCTCCTGGTGGTCAGTGCATGCTGGCCTCAGTGACGGGAGAACCTTAAGGCTGGTGACATTCAGTACCCAAGCAGGCAAATCACAGAGGTGGCTGGGGGTGTGCAGGGCTAATGGGCAAACTAGAGCAATGGAATAATGTCTTTCCTCTCAGATAGGGAAACGTTTTAAAAATAGATAATGCTCAGGGCTGGCGGGGGCACACGGAAACTGGCACTGCCATACACTGCCAGAGGAGAAAGGAAAGTGGGTGCTGGCCCTGGGAGAGGTTTCTTGGTTTGTTTTGTTTTGTTTTTGAGGGGTAGTTTGTTTTTTTGCAGAGGCAGGGTCTCACTATGTTGCTTAGGTTGGTCTCGAACTCCTATCCTCAAGTAATCCTCGAGCCTTGAGTTCCCAAAGTGCTGGGTTACAGGCATGAGCCACCAGGCCCGGTCCCTGAGAGCCTTTGGGAACTAGGAATCAAAAGTCTTTCTCTGGGGTGGGGCAGGGGGTGCGGTGTACGTGTGCAGGGGTTTCGAAACTTTGTGGCTTGGCCGTGGATCTCATGGCGTGAGAGTCTCACCTCAGTTTCATGGGCGAGATTGGCCCTTGTGGAGTTTGAGTCCAACCCAGAAGAAACAAGGAAGCCTGGGTCTTCTCCAAGTGTTGCAGCAAGCTGGCCTGGGGTCCCCCCAAAGGTAGCCAGAGACAAGCCCAGGATCACCCAGTCTGCAGCAGGGTGCAAAGGTTTGGGGGTCCCCCACAAAGGCAGCCAGAGCCAAGCCCAGGGTCCCCCGAGCATCAGCAAGATCTACACCTGGAGTCACCTCAAAGACAGCCAGAGTCTAGCTCCAAATCCCCACAATGTCAGCCAAAGCCAAGTGAGGAGGCACCACGGTGTTCTCAGGGCCAGGGAGAACCAGCCTCCGAGTGGGCCCAGAGTCCAGAGGAGCTGACTCGGGGGGTGGGGGTGGCATGAGCACCTATACCCGGGCCCAGGATCACCAGAGCCTTACCCCAGTCAGCAGGTGCCGAGTTCAGAGCCGTCACGGCCAGTACGGGAGCTGACACCCAAGGCACCTGGCTCCCTGCTGGGGTCAGCAGGAGCCAAGCAAGCTGCCTCTAGCTGGGGAGAGGTAACAGGCGGCCATGGGGCAAAGAAGGAAAAAGGTTCTTCAGTCCAGGCTCCAGTATCCAAGAAGTCGAAGGAGGAGGAGGAGGAGTTTCCTATAATCCAGAAGGGGAAGCCCACATTGCGGGAGGATGTGGAAGGACTACTGCAAGAAAAAGTTATCCCAGATGGTTCAGGACAAGCCCCTGCACACATCCTGGCAGTGGAAGATGAAGGAACAGCAGGAAAGGAAGCTTGCCAAGGATTCTGCCCCTAACCTGGAGGAGGAGAAGGAAAGGCACTGCCAGGAGAAGAAACAGCGCTGGGCCCAAGAACCTGAAACATCACCTATAGAACGAGTGGAAGGCAGAGATTGTCCAAGTGATCCAAAGCCCCACCAAGCTCAAGCTGGTGAGGACACAGCAGCTGTGCTCCACTGAGAAGCGGGACACCCTGCCCCTGCTGCAGAAGCAGCCATCCCAGCAGCCAGCAGGCAAGGTCTGAGCTCAGGACGGCCCCGAGGCCCTCTATGGCCAGCAACCATGTCAGACACAGCACCTCAAGCCACTGGCCAGATGCCTCTGCTGGAGTCAGCACTCCAAACCTATGGCTGCAAAATGGTGACCCCCACCCTGGCCAGGGCTCCTGGGCCTTTGACGTCTTTTAGGCTGGTCTGTGTGGGACAGAGGCCCAGGGGGGTCTGGGATCTGGCAGAGATGGGGGTGAGAAGAGATTCAGCCCCCTCCCTTCTTCCTCTCCTTCTCCAAGTGCCTTCAGACCAAGAACAGTATATTCTTCGGTTCCTCAGTGAGCTGGCGACTAGCAGGTGACTCCCACAGATGTTGTATGTCCTGTCTCAGGGTCCTAGGTCCAACCCAGGCCCAAAGGCTGGCAGTCAGGAATCCAGCTTCCCCTACACTTTCCCAAAGGCTGCTCTGAGCACCTCTGCGCCCCACTGGCTCTGTCTTCGAGCAAACTGAATCCACCTCCTCCCCACTTTTCAACACTGAAAGATGAAAATGGGGAGATTGCAGGGAGCAGTTTCTCCCTAGCACCCTCTTGCCCAAACCAGACTCCTCAGAAGCATCAAAGATCTAACTCATGTCTACCCAGTCTACAAAGAAAATATTTATTGAGTGTCTGTTGCATACAGGTACAATTCGAGTCACCAGGGAATACAGACAATAGACCAAAGTCCCTCCCCTCAATGAGCTTTCATTCTGATGGAGAGAAAACATAGTAAACAAGCAAAATGTGTCATGTGTCAAAAAAAAAAGTCTTTCTCCAAATGCATACACTTCGATCTAGCTATTCCACTTGTAGGAATTTATTTGTAAGACTGTATAAAGTATATACAGAGTCTTATAGTATAAGGTGTAGATCTTGCTGATGCTGGGGGGACCCTGGGCTTGGCTCTGGCTGCCTTTGTGGGGGACCCCCAAACCTTTGCACCCTGCTGCAGACTGGGTGATCCTGGGCGTGACTCTGGTTGCCTTTTGGGGGACCCCAGGCCAGCTTGCTGCAGCACTTGGAGGAGACCCAGGGTTCCTTGTTCTGGGTTGGACTCGAACTCCACAAGGGCCAATCTCATCCGTGAAACTAAGGAGGCTCTCAGGCCATGAGATCCATGGCCAAGCCACAAAGTTTCCAAACCCCTGCACACGTACACTGCCACCCCCCAACCCCAGAAAAAGACTTGTGATTCTGTATAAAGTGTAAAAAGGAGTAGTAAAAAAGAATTAAACAGAAACATTCGTTATCGTAGCAAAATTAAGAAAATACGCAACTGTTTAAACACATTAAGATCCTTATTCAAGTAGTAAAACGACTATTTTGTCATTGAAATGGCTTTACAAAATATTGGTAAATTAAGTAAAATGAGGGTTTGAAATAATATGTGCACTCTGTGTCGTAGGCCAGGTGATCCAGAGCAGGCAGTGGAGGGCCTGAGGCGTACAAGGGACCCTACTAGGGATAAACCCATGAAAAAAGCAAGCAGAAACAGGCTTGGGCAGAAGTCAAAACCGTTGCAGGCTCAGCAAAACCTCTGCCAGCCAGCCAGGATGCCAGAACAAGCATCGCCCCCTCAGAGTTGGCTGGGCCAAGAAGAGATGGCCAGATCTTTATACCCAGGCCTCAGGCACCTGAGGGGGCTCCCCAGGGAAGGCCCTGAACGCTGGGGGTGCTCTCTTTGGCTCAGGCATACCCTGAAGCAGCCAGCCAGGCTCTAAACAAACTCCCACAACTGGACAGCAAGTCCTCCCCAAGGAGGGTCCAGGCAGCACATCTATGCATCTACCACATTCTGCTGGTACTAGTAGTAGTAATTTTCAGAAAATAAATTGTGTCTATCTATACAATAATAATAAGCATATGGAATCCATAGGTGTAAATATTTATAAGATAATTAGAAATGTAAGAAAATGGTTGGAGTAAATAAATATTTAAATTCCTGGGATAGGCTGGGCGCGGTGGCTCACGCCTGTAATCCCAGCACTTTGGGAGGCCAAGGTGAGTGGATCACGAGGTCAGGAGTTTGAGAACAGCCTGGCCAACATAGTGAAACTCCTTCTCTCCTAAAAAAAAATACAAAAAAATAGCCAGGCGTGTTGGCAGGAGCCTGTAATCCCACCCACTCGGGAGGCTGAGGCAGGAGAATCACTTGAATCCAGGAGGCGGAGGTTAACAATTGGTTGAGTTTGTCTAAAGACCTGGGATCAAACAGAAAGAAATGTCTGGGTTAAGATGAGAGGTTGTGGAGACCAAAGGTTTACCATGCAGATGAAGCTTTCAGCTAGCAGGCTTCAGAGAGAATAGGTTGCAAAATATTTCTTACCAGACTTAATGTCTGTGTTGATGTTAATGCTGGAGGGGTGTAGAGGCATGTCTGACTCCCACTCCCCAAGATGGCCTGAACCAGTCTCTCAGGTTACATTTTAAGAGCCCTGGCTGAG
Organism: Homo sapiens; assembly: GCF_000001405.40. Lineage (NCBI taxonomy): Eukaryota > Metazoa > Chordata > Mammalia > Primates > Hominidae > Homo > Homo sapiens. The sequence continues at coordinate 178,843,590 of NC_000005.10, forward strand.
GGGTCTTAAGATGGTTGAGGGGCCTTAGACTTTTGTTTTTGGTTTATAAGTGGTTCCAAAATGCTGGTACATAAAACCATCTGTGGGACGTGTAAAAAAGCAGGTTTCCGAGTCTTCAGTGACCTCGTTTTTCTAGCCTACTCTATGATACCGTCGCAGCAACTGTCTCCTCTCTTCTGCACCATCGCTCTTTCACTTCCCACTGGATTCTTTCACTTCATTATACAAACATTAACTCCCATCTTTTTAAAAAATAGCCTCAGTTTACCCACTTTTCTCATCAACTACCACCCAATATCTTCTTTTTCTTTTACAAAAATCTCAGTGTGTATCCAGCATCCCTCCACCACCTGACTGTTGAACACACTCAAATCAAACTTCTGATCCTTGTCCCCAAGAGTTTTAATCTAAAACACCAGTTGCTCCCACGTTGCTAAATCCAATGGTGAATTCTCAGTCCTCATCTGAGTTGATCCTTCCATATCATGTGGCACAGATGATCCCTCCCTCCCTTTGAAACACTCCTGCACTTGCCTTCCAAGACATCACACCCTCCTGATTCCTCTCCTGCCTCACTGGTCACTCTTTCTCCCCTAGATTGTGACTTCCTAATGCTAGAGTTCTCAAAGTCTTTATATTTAAACTGTTAATTTTTTTCCTTTGGTTTCTCCTCCTCACTCTCAGCTTTATAGTGACTTCACCCTGTGTCATGGCTTTACTTACTGTTTGTACACTTAGTACTCCCTACTCTGCAGCCCAGCCTTTTACACAGAACCCCAGACTCATAGCTAAATGTCTCCTGATAGCAATGATCTTCATCTCAGAAGATTCAAACTGAGCTCGTTATCTTCCCTATCAGTCAATCACATCCTCCCAGTGCTCGAACACCATGGAGACATCCCTGAATCCTTCTCTCACACATATACATTCAATCCATCATATCCTGTCAACCCGATCTTAAAACATATTCAGAGAAGAAAATTAGGACCCTACCTAATAGTACATACAACAATTAACTCAAAGTAGATCAGTTACCTAAATATAAGTGATTTAAAACTATATAACTCTTAGAATAAAATATAGGGTCAGGAGTTCAAAACCAGCCTGGCCAACATGGTGACATCCCGTCTCTACTAAAGATACAAAAAATTAGCTGGGCATGGTGGCATGTGCCTGTAATCCCAGCTACTCGGGAGGCTGAGGCAGAGGAATTGCTTGAATCAGGGAGGCGGAGGTTGCAGTGAGCCGAGATCGCACCATTGCACTCCAGCCTGGGTAAGAGGGTGTTCAGTGATCCAGTACGAGGACCCAGAGAACTCAGAAAAGCCATTACATTCATGGTTGCAGTCACCATGCGAAGGGTGGCAGAACATGCCCCCCCAAAATAGGCTGCTTTGACATAAGGATTATTGTCAGCTGAAGGCAATTGAGAAGAAATGAGTAAAAGAAAAGCTCTCTCCCCTCCCCCCATCTGCCAGAAAGCAAGACATAAATTTACAAAGATGTCCTTCCCCTCTATACCAAGAAGGACAAAGGTTGGTCACTGGAGATGACTGTAGACCCTTACCAGCCTGGAGATGGAACCAGAGGAATTTGCATAACACGTTTGACTAACCAGCCTCTATCTTCCACTAGGGCCCCATAACTTGCCTCCGTCACACCCTTTTTTCTTTGTTTTAGTTGAAGAATCTAGGCCTAGCTGATTGAAGAATCCCAGCACTTTAGGAGGCCAGGGCGGGAGGATCGATTGAGGCCAGGAGTTCAAGACCAGCCTGGGCAACAGAGGAAGGTCCTATCTCAAAAAAAAAAAAAAAAATCTATATATGGTACATAGTGGCTCACACCATGGGCCAGGCTGAGGCAGGCAGATCACTTGAGCGAGGCGACAGAGAGACTTTATCTCAAAAAAAAAAAAAAAAAAGAAAGAAAAAGAAGAATCTATATAAATAAGCTGGGGTCCTAGACCACCTCTTTGAGAATTACTCATTCCCTGGATATCCCATGTATATAAGAGGTATACATGTTATTAAACTTCTGTTTTTTTCTTGTTAATTTGTCTTTTGTTTACAGGGATCCCAGCTAGGAACCAGAAGGGTAAAGGGGGAATTATCGTTTACTCCCCTGTACATACAAACCCAACCAAAAAGTTAATGTCACTGTATTTACTTCCAACAAATTAGACTTCAGAACAAGGAAAATAATCAGGGATAAAGAGAGCCATTACAAGTGAAAAGGTGATCAATTCTCCAAGAAGACTTAATAATCCTAAATGTGTACACACCTTCATACACAGAGCTTCAAAGTACTTGAGGCAAAACCTGAAAGAACTGAGAAGAAAAATAGACAAATCCACGATTATAGCTGGCATTTCAACATTCTCTCTCACTAACTGAATGAGAGACTAGCCAGAATTCAGTAAAAATAAAGGCAGCCTGAACAGAGCTTGGCAACCAACTTAACTGGTATTTTTAGAACACTCCATCCAAAAATAGCAGGACACACATTATTTTCAAATGTACATGGGGCCAGGCGTGGCAGCTCATGCCTGTAATCCCAGCACTTTGGGAGGCCGATGGGGTGGATCACCTGAAATCAGGAGTTTGAGACCAACCTGGCCAACATGGTGAAACCTCGTCTCTACTAAAATGCAAAAAAAATTAGCCAGGCGTGGTGGTGCACTTCTGTAGTCCAAGCTACTCAGGAGGCTGAGGTAGGAGAATCGCTTGAATCCAGGAGGTGGAGGTTGCAGTGAGCCGAGATTGTGCCACTGCATTCCAGCCTGGGTGACACAGTGAGATTCCGTCTCAAAAAAAAAAAAATGTACGTGGAACATTGATCTGGACAGATCATATTCTAAGAAATAATACAAACCTGAAGATTGGCGAATAGTCTATAAACTTAAGGAAAGCATTAATTATATTCAATCAAGCAATTTTTTTCTTTACCATGGAATCAGTACTGTTACAGCTATGTGAAAAATCTCAAAGACTCTACAAAAAGAAAAAAATTCCTGGAATTGTAATGAATAAGTTTAGCAACCATACATAGTCAATATACCTAAATAAATAATATTCCTTTATACCTGGAATGGGCAACCTTTTTTCTTTTTCTTTTTCTTTTTCTTTTTTCTTTTTCTTTGAGGTGGAGTTTTGCTCTTGTTGCCCAGGCTGGAATGCAATGGCGTGATCTCAGCTCACTGCAATCTCTACCTCCCAGGTTCAAGTGATTCTCCTGCCTCAGCCTCCCAAGTATGTGGAATTACAGGCACATGCCACCACTCCCAGCTAATTTTTGTATTTTTCGTAGAGACGGAGTTTTACCATATTGGCCAGGATGGTCTTGGTCTCGTGACCTCGCGATCCGCCCGCCTTGGCCTCCCAAAGTGTTGAGATTACAGGTGTGAGCCACTGTGCCCAGCCGGCAACTTTTTTTTTTTTTCTGAAGGGCAAAATAGTAAATATTTTATTTTTGTAAACCATGTGATCTCTGTTGCAACTAACTCTGCTCTTGTAATGGGAAGCACCCATAGACAACACGTAAATAATAAGGGAGCGTGTCTGTGTTCTAGCAACACTTTATTTATGGCCACTCAGATCTGAATTTCAGTTTTCTCAGGTCACAAAAATGCTAGCCTTTTGATTTTTTCAACTGTTTAATAACGTGAAAAATGATTCTTAGCCAAAGAAAAGCAGCAGGTGGGGAATCAGATCTGCCTCATGGGTCACTATTTGCAGACCTTTGTTATATAACAACTGGAATTTTAAATTATAAAAATACCATTTACAATAGCCAAAAAAAAGACAAAATAAAGTACACAGGTATAAATTTAACAAAATATGTGCAGAATCCGTATGCTGAAAACTACAAAACTCTGATGAAGATCAAATAATACTTAAGCCAACAGCTTTTTATGGATCAGAAGGTTGATATTGCTAAGATGTCAATTTCCCCCAACTTGCTCTATAAGTGCAAGGCAATCCCAATAAAAATGCCGGCAGGAATTTGTGCAGATATTGAAAAGCTGACATAAAACGTGTCAACCAACACTTTGATACACTGGCCCCTAGGAAAGTAAGGATTGATGGATTGAAGTACAAATTTTACTTTTTTTCAATACTCTTTTAGTGCGTTTTTTGCACACTCAGTGACTACCCCGCAACCACAGAGGGACCTGGGGAGGAGTAGCCCCACCACCACGCCCAGTTAATTTTTTTGTATTTTTAGTAGAGACGGGGTTTCACCGTGTTGGCCAGGCTGGTCTTGAACTCCTGATCTCAGATGATCCGCCTGCCTTGGCATCCCAAAGTGCTGAGATTACAGGCATGAGCCACCATGCCCGGCCGTCTAATGCTTCTTGGACAATGTGGCATGTTGGTGTTAAAAACAGCCTTATTTTGTACAGATGGTTTGGGAGTGGCTCTAGTGTTTGAACGTCAACTGTTTGGGGACTGTTGCTTTGATTTTAATCCTGTTTGACATGAAATGTTATCCTAGTCTTACTAGTGATGTGTGTAAACTATATACATGAGGATTTACACTTCATGTGGGGAAATGGGTGAGACTTCACCTGTGACTTCCTTTTCTCATTTCACTATGAGGAATATACTGAAGTGCTTGATGTGCGATTGCTTTAGAATTCCTGGTTTTAATGGGATAGCGTGGCTTCTTTGATTTTTTTTTTTTCAGTTACTGTATTTTGCAGTTCTCTTCCAGTCCTTTTTATATTCATCAATGATCTTACACTCCTGCTTCCTCTGCACACTTGACCATAGGCAGTCTTAATTGTAATAGCTGTTTTTTCTGTTTTTTTTTTTTTTTTTTTTTTTTGAGATGGAATCTCGTTCTGTCTCCCAGGCTGGAGTACAGTGGCGCCATCTCGGCTCACTGCAAGCTCCGCCTCCCAGGTTCACGCCATTCTCCTGCCTCAGCCTCCCAAGTAGCTGGGACTACAGGCGCCCACCACCACGGCCGGCCAATTTTTTGTATTTTTTTTAGTAGAGATGGGGTTTCACCGTGTTAGCCAGGATGGTCTTGATTTCCTGACCTCGTGATCCACCTGCCTCGTCCTCCCAAAATGCTGGGACTACAGGTGTGAGCCACTGTGCCCGGCCGTAATAGCTGTTTTAAAGCTTTTCTTCACTAATTCCACCATCCGCATCAATCTGAGTCTTTTTTATTCTCTCTGCTAGCGGTGAATTCTAGCTCTGTCTTGTTGCATGCCTGGTAATTTTAGGTAGAAGACCAGTGTAGGGCCAGAAAGGGGGTGATCTCTTTCCTCGCCATTGTAAAGGATCACAGGTGACACAAAACTGGTTAACAAGAGAAAAGCATGGTAAATTTGTTACATGCACACGTGCCCATGGGATCCACACAAAATGTGAACTCAGAGGGGCAGATGGTTGAGACTTAAATGTCCATGTCATGGGGGAAGGAGAAATGGGGGAATGAATAGGTCCAGTGCTCATACAATGGTTCACAGGAACATTGGTTCACAATTGGTGTGACAATGGTTCACACACCAAAGACTGTCATGTTATGCAGATAAAGTTTCTTAGGTAACTTCTTGGAGCTGCCCTAAGAAGAATAGAGGAAAAGTCTGTCTGAATGTGGTGGTGACTGACTCCCCATCTTCTCTCTGGTGGTTAATCTTTCCTGGTTTTTGAGATCCCTACGGAGGGAGTCTAAAGACCATTGCATTTCTTTTGGAAAGGAGCTTTCTAAATTCTAGTGTCCCTCCCTGCTCTTGGAAGAGGAATAAAATAAGATTAGAAGGGCCTTGATTCTGAGGCTGCTTCTAAGGATTTTCAGCATGTCACAGAGCCAATATTTGAGGTTTCAACTTCTGAGTCCCAATGTCAGTGTTAAAACATTTCCGAATACAGATGAAGTGGACTTCCTGTGGTTAAAATGAGACACACACCCAAAACAGAATCTCATGGCCAGAAGGATGAGTTAGGCACATATTTCTGCGTTAATTGCCGTAAGGTTCTTTCCTGTAATTAAGCAGAAACCAACTCCTGAAAAGCATTGCGGAAACAACTACAGCTGGAGAATTTCCCAGCTGACCCTAGGAAACTGCCTGACCCCAGCTGATTGAGCCTGCCTTGACGGTCCCAACACAACTCCAACTGGACAGAGGACTGGCCAAAAAAGCATTGTTTACCGGTAAATAGCCCCTAACCTCAGGGCAGTTTCGGCCATTATAGAGACTGTGGACTAACTGTCTTTGTGCACTACAGTTCACTACTTTTTTATTTTTTTTAAACAGAGTCTTGCTCTGTCCCACAGGCTGGAGTGTAGTGGCGCGATCTCGGCTCACTGCAACCTCCGCCTCCCGGGCTCAAGTGATTCTCCTGCCTCAGCCTCCCGAGTAGCTGGGATTACAGGTGCCCGCCACCATGCCCAGCTAATTTTTGTATTTTTAGTAGAGATGGGGTTTGGCCATGTTGGTCAGGCTGATCTCAAACTCATGGCCTCAAGTGATCCGCCCACTTTGGCCTCCTAAAGAGCTGGGATTACAGGCGTGAGCCACCGCGCCTGGTTACAGTTCACCTTCTGGCATACAGAGACAAAGTCCACATAATTTTAATACTAAAACCCCATCCCAAAGTAAACATGGAATGTTAACATGTTTATCCACTGCACATCCCCCTGGCTTCCCTCATGAATATTCATAGATTTCTCCAACCCTGCTCAATCTGTATGTAAGGTTAACCCTAGAAGACCTAGATACCAACTTCCCCCTCCCTCTGCCAAGCATGCCCTTTCAGGTTTCCCTGGAAGCCATGTTCCCCAATCTGAGAACTGCTTCTTCCTCTGAAGAGAAAGTTTTCTTTCCTTCTTCCATGGATCTCATGTTCTTCGGCTAACACCAGCATTGTGCATTTTATATTTTGGGGGTCTGGGCATTATGTGTTCCTTTAACAAAGGATGGGTTTTGCTCTTTGCTGTTAAGTTACTTGGAAACATTCTTGCTTTAGGGGATTGTTTTTTGGGGGGCCAAGGTGGGCGGATCACCAGAGGTCAGGAATTCGAGACCAGCCTGACCAATATGGTGAAACCCCGTCTCTACTAAAACTACAAAAATTAGCCAGGCATGGTGGTGTGCGCCTGTAATGTCACCATGTTGGCCAGGCTGGTTATGAACTCCTGACCTCAAGTGATCTGCCTGCCTTGGCCTCCCAAAGTGCTGGGATTACAGGCGCGAGCCACTGCGCCCGGCCTGGATGATCTTAAAGTGGAAAGCACAGAGCCCATTTAGGGGGCTTCCTGGCCACATGGGTTGTCAACCTAAATAAGAAACAGAGAGAGGCTCTCTAAAGGAAGTGTTTTTTAGGGAATAGGACATTGCAACAGGAAATACTGTAGTTAAAGTATATCCATATTCAGAGAGGTAAAGCAAGACAAAGGATTTTAAGGGAAAAGTGAGGAGATTACATAATTGTTTTTGAAATAATTATCCGGCCGGGTGTGGTTGCTCATGAGGCCTGTAATCCCAGCACTTTGGGATGCCGAGGTGGACGAATCACAAGGTCAAGAGATCAAGACCATCCTGGCCAACATGGTGAAACCCCATCCTACTAAAAATACAAAAATTAGCTGGACATGGTGGCACCCACCTGTAGTCCCAGATACTTGGGAGGCTGAGGCAGAAGAATTGCTTGAACCCGGGAGGTGGAGGTTGCAGTGAGCTGAGATCGCACCACTGCACTCCATCCTGGCGGCAGAGTGAGACTGTGTCTCACAAAACAAAACAAACAAACAAAAAATTATCCTTTGCTACAAAGATCAATAATAAGGGCGATACCAGGCTGTGTTTGGACAGGCAGTTGCTGGGCAGATGTACTTGCAGAAGTGTTTTTTTATGTAAGGTTGTGATGGCCTTTGTGCAATGTTGTGGTTTTTGTAGAGTCTTTTTCATTCTCAGGCATAAAAGTGTGAGAACCTTCTCTTCATGGCCTTCGTTGGCTTTATTTGTCAGGATTTTCTTAACCTCAGTGACTCCATTTTGATTATGACAATTTTCAAGGGTATTGGGAATGCGGCCTGAAATTTGACTATGGAAATGAAGAGAATGTGATCTTTTTAGGTGACATGTAAAGAATCAAGGATTGCCAGGTGCAGTGGCTCATGCCTGTAATCCCACCACTTTGGGAGGCCAAGGTGGGAGGATCACTTGAGGTCAGGAGTTTGAGACCAGCCTGGCCACCATAATGAAACCCCTTCTCTACTAAAAATACAAAAATGAGCTGATTATTGTGGCAGGACCTGTAATCCCAGCTACTCGGGAGGCTGAGGCAGGAGAATTGCTTGAACCCAGGAGGCGGAGGTTGCAGTGACCTGAGATTGCACCATTGCACTCCAGCCTGGGTGACAGAGTGAGATTTCATCTCAAAAAAAAAAAAATCAAGGATTACACTTGGGCCAATGACATTCAGTTTAAACTGACTTAAGAAGGTACACACAGTCCCTCGCTGTCTGCTCACTGATACTCTCCCTTGACATGAAGGTATGATTCTGAAGAATTGGGTGCTATGCAGTGAATGGTGCCTGAAATACCAGTTTCATTCTGAGTGGGGCCATGAGGGCACCCAGGCCAGCATCTGAGATTCTGAAGCCAGAAAACAATCTCAGCAGCATAGTCCCAGCATTCTTGACCACCCTGTGTACAGCCCTGTTCTGCTTTTTCCCACCATCGGTTCTTACATCTATTAACCCAGCACTTTGGGAGGCTGAGGCAGGCGGATCACTTGAGGTTAGGAGTTTGAGGCCAGCCTGGGCAACATGGTGAAACCCTGTCTCTACTAAAAATACAAAAATTAGCCAGTCGTGGTGGTGGGCACCTGTACTCCCAGCTACTCGGTTGGCTGAAAAAGGAAAATCACTTGAACCCAGGAGGCAGAGGTTGCAGTGAGCCAAGATCACACCACTGCACTCCAGCCTGGGCAACAGAGCGAGACTCCATCTCAAACAAAAAACAAATGTAATCAGAACACTCTGATTCAGACGGTCTGACTACATTACATCCGGGGCTTTTGATAGCAGCAGGACTCTTGTGAGCTTCCGAGACTGCCAGAAGAAAAGAGGAGCAAATACATTTCCACACTCAGGAACCCCCTGACTCACTGCATTCCAGCAGCTCAGAGTGAGTTCCTGCAGACTCCTCTTCTATTTTCTGAAAGGTATTGTGTTAATTTTGGAGTAAATTTTGCTTTAAACACTTGATAGAATTCTCCACTGAATGCATCTGGCCTAAAAATTTTTTTTAGTCTTAAAATTATGATTTCAATTTGTTTTCTTTTTGTTTGGAGACAGCGTCTCATTTTGTCACCTAGGATGGAGTGCAGTGGCGCAATCTCGGCTCACTGCAACCTCTGCCTCCCAGGTTCAAGCAATTCTCCTGCCTCAGCCTCCTGAGTAGCTGGGATTACAGGCGCCTGCCACCACACCTGGCTAATTTTTATATTTTTAGTAGAGACGGGGTTTTGTCATGTTGGCCAGGCTGGTCTCGAACTCTTGACTTGTGATCCACCTGCCTCAGCCTCCAAATGTGCTGGGATTACAGGCGTGTCCACCACTTCTGGCTGATTTCAATTTATTTAATAGTATAGGACTATTCAAATTATTTATTTCATATAAGTGATTTGTGGCAGTCTGTGGGATTTTTTTTGTTTGTTTCTCAGGAACTGGCATATTTCATTGAAGTTGTCAAATTTTATGTTTATAGAGTATTCTCTTATCTTTTTGATGTCTGCAGGATCTGATTTGTGTAATAGCCCTTGTTTCATTACTGATATTGACAAGTTATGTCATGTTCCTTTTTTCCCCGAAGTTTTGCTTCTCAGCAAGAAGTCCTGTTGGGTTGATTCTTTCTCAGCCTTGCTTTAGAGCTGTGCCCCACACATTTCGATATGTTGTATTTTCATCTTCATTCCTTCCATGCATTTTGATTTCCCTTAAGACTTCCTACGGACCCATGGATTATGTAGAAGTGTGTTATTGATTTTCCAAGTATAAAAGTTTTTTATGTTGTCTTTCTGTTCTTGTTTCCAGTTTGATTCCATCATGGTCAGAGAACACATTCTGTATGATAAAATTCTTCTAAATGTGTTGAAGTTTGTTTTATGCTCTGGAAATTGGTCTATTGGGTGTATGTTCTCTGGGCACTTGAAAGGAATGTATGCTGTTGTTGGTTGAAGTGTTTGACAAATGTCTGTTAGATCCTTTTGGTTGTTGGTGGTGTTGAATATCATTCTATTTCCTTGCAGATATCCTGCCTAGTTGTGTCCTGATGTTGAGGGAGGGATGTTGAAACCTCCAACTACAATTGTGCACTTGTCTAATTGTCTATTTCTCTATTCATTTTCTTCCACATTTTGTTTCACATATTTTTATAGCTCTGTTTCTTAATGCATACACATTTAGGATTGCTATGCCGTCTTGGTGGATTAAACTTTTTATCATTATGTAATTTCCTTCTCTGTTTTTTTTTTCTTTTTCTTTTCTTTCTTTTTTTTTTTGAGGTGGAGTTTCGCTCTTGTTGCACAGGCTGGAGTGCAATGGCATCATCTTGGCTCACTGCAACCTCCACCTCCTGGGTTCAAGTGATTCTCCTGCCTCAGCCTCCCGAGTAGCTGGGATTACGGGCGCGGGCCACCACGCCCAGCTAATTGTGTATTTTTAGTAGAGACGAATCGCAGTGGTTTTAAACTCCCTGTCTGATAATTCCAATGTCCCTGCCGTCTGAGTCTGGTTCTGATTCATGTTCTCTCTCTCTTTAAACTGTTTTTTTGCCTTCGAGTATGTGCTGTTATTTTGTTTCTTGAAAATGGGGCATGGTATGGCTGAGCAGGGAACTGCAGTGGATAAGGCTTTAGTGATGTGGTGATAAGGTGTGGGGGCAGGGAAGCACGTGACAGCCCCGTGATGAGGTCTCAGCCTTGTGGTGAGCCTGTGCCTGGACTGAACTTCCCAGTGCTGCTCAGGTTGCTCCCCTCCACCCCACCCAAGTCCTCAGGTGGGAGAGGATGGGATGGCTGCAGGGAACTGAAGGTGGGTATTTTCCTTCCCTGAAGGCATTAGGCTCTGAAGGGTTAAATTGTTTCTTTTTGCCCAGGTCAGTTAGGCTCTGAGGAAACCTCATTAGATGAGTCTCTGGTTAAACTGTTTGTTTTGGTCAGGGAAGGCTGGGTCTCCCTCTGTTGCCCAGTCTGGAGTGCAGTGGTGCCATCACAGCTTACTGCAGCCGTGAACTTCAGGCTCAAACCATCCTCCTGCCTCAGCACCCCCAAGTAGCTGGAACTACAGGCATGCAGCACCACACCTGGCTAACTAAAAAAAAACAGTCTTTTGTAGAGATGAGATCTCACTTTGTTGCCCAGGCTGGTCTCAAACTTCTGACCTTAAGCAATCCTCCCACCTTGGCCTCCCAAAGTGCTGGGATACTGGCATGAGCCTAATAGTTGCTCCTCGGGGAAGATCTTGTTAAGAGCAGAATGCTTATATTTATTTCAAAGTGGTATATTTCAAAATGTTTATTTCCCTTCTCCCTGCCAGACACACAAAAATCTGGGATTTTTTCTCAGATCTTTACTGTGAGAACCTGGCTGAGCTCCAGCAGGTAAAATTCACGAAAGCGTAGGGACCCCCACCCAGTACCTGGGTCCTCCTGGAGTTTTCATCTGAGACTTTTCCACACTGAGTCTCCAGCAGGTCGTCAGTTACAGTTCTGGTTTCCCTGCCTGGCACAGGTTCCCCATGTTTCAGCTCCTAAGTTTCTGTTCCAGTAAATTGTGGCTGTCTGTATTCACCTGTCCTCTCTTCATTTTGGAGAGGGCAGAGAGTGGTCCTGTATCCTCACATCTCTTACAAATCTGTTTCAGAAGAGTTGTTGATCTTAATCTCTCTTTCAGGAGTGGAGATTTCTTTTTTTAATTTTTTTTTGGAGACGGAGTCTCGCTCTGTCACCCAGGGTGGAGTGCAGTGGTGCGATCTTGGCTCATTGTGACTTCCGCCTCTCTGGTTCAAGTGATTCTCCTGCTTCAGCCTCCCAAGTAGCTGGGACTACAGGCGCCCACCGCCATGCCCAGCTAGTTTTTTGTATTTTAGTAGAGACGGGGTTTCACCGTGTTTCCCAGGCTGGTCCCGAACTCCTGAGCTCAGGCAGTCCACCCACCTGGGCCTCCCAAACTGCTAGGATTACTGGCATGAGCCACCATACCCGGCCAGGAGTGGAGATTTCTAAGCTTCTTACATGCCAGACCAGAACCAGAACGCAGAGTGGTATTTTTTACTTTTATTTTTTTCCAGACAGTCAGTCTCGCTGGGATGCCCAGGCTGGAGTGCAATGGCGTGACCTCAGCTTACTGCAACCTCCATCTCCCAGGTTCAAGTGATTCTCCTGCCTCAGCCTCCCGAGTAGCTGGGATTACAGGCATACACCACCACGCCCGGCTAATTTTTGTATTTTTAGTAGAGACAAGGTTTCACCATGTTGGTCAGTCTGGTCTCAAACGCCTGACCTCAAGTGATCCGCCCACCTCGCCCTCCCGAAGTGCTGGGATTACAGACGTGAGCCACTGCACCCAGCCCCTCTATGTGTATTTAGACCCACAGGACAATTATAATTTTTGCCTCCACTATCAAACACAATTTAGAAGACTCAAGAGGAGAAGGGAAGCCTATTGCATTTGCCCTCCTTTCTTCCTGGCAGAGATGGAAGTCTAGGCCCTTCTTCCATTTCTGTTGGCATAGTAGGGGTGTGGACATGGTTTTTCTGCAGTTCTGACTGGAGTAAAGCAGTTACTGTGTACTGTCGTGATAGGCTGTCCCTTTCCTGGTCTTTTGGCTAGAGAGAGGATGGAGACTTTTGGGGGGTGCTTTTTGTGTGCCCATTTGCATTTCTGAGTTGCCAGCTTCTTTGCTTCCAAGACTAGGATATATGAGGTAAACAGAGACCCAGAGAACTCATCACCATGTTGTCACTTGAGTCTGACTGAGTGCCATTGCCAGTGGCTTGCTTCTCTCTACTTTTCAGAGTTTTCTTATGTTTGTTTTAGATACAATAGTGAAGATTTGTAGTGTGTTTAGTGAAAAGAGTAGGGAAATACATGTCTGTTTTCCCCAGAGCAGAAGTACAAATTTGGTTTTTTGTTTTTTCTTTTTGAGACAGGGTCTCACTCTGCTGCCTAGTCTAAAGTGCAATGGCACGATCATGGCTCACTGCAGCCTCAACCTCCTGGGCTCAGGCGATCCTCCCACCTCAGCCTCCCGGGTAGTTCGGCTACAGGCGTGTGCCACCATGCCCGGCTAATTTTATATTTTTAGTAGAGACGGGTTTTCTCCATATTGGTCAGGCTGGTCTCGAACTCCTGACCTCAAGTAATCTGCCCGCCTCACCCTCCCAAAATGCTGGGATTACCGGCGTGAGCCACTGTGCCCGGTTGAGTTTTTAATTTTTTACATCATTGTTGGCTGTTGGCTTTTGAGGGTTGGGGTGTATATATATATGTATGTATGTATGTATGTATTTATATGAGACAGATCTGGTCTTGCTTTATTGCCCAGGCGGCTGGAGTGCAGTGGCACAATCTCAGCTCACTGCAATCTCCTCCTCCCGGGCTCAAGCAACCCTCCTGTCTCAGCCTCCCAAGTAGCTGGGACCACAGGAGTGTGCCATCATGCCCAGCTAATTTTCATAATTTTTTTTTTTTTGTAGAGACAGGATCTCACTATGCTGCCCAAGCTGGTCTCAAACTCCTGGGCTCAAGCAGTTGTCCCACCTCAGCCTCCCAAAGTGCTGGGATTATAGGCATGTGCCACCACGCCTGGATAATTTTGTATTTTTAGTAGAGATGGGGTTTCACTATGTTGGTCAGCCTGGTCTGACCTCAGGTCATCCACCCACTTGGGCCTCCCAAAGTGCTGGGATTACAGGCATGAGCCACTGTGCCCAGCTGAGAAAGGATTTGTTTATTTATTTATTTGAGACAGAGTCTCGCTCTGTTGCCCAGGCTGGAATGCAGTGGTACAATCTCAGCTCACTGAAACCTCTGCCCTCCTGGGTTCAAGAGAGTCTCCTGCCTCAGTCTCCTGAGTAGCTGGGATTACAGGCGTGCCCCACCACGCCTGGCTAGTTTTTGTATTTTTAGTAGAGACGGGGTTTCACCATGTTGGCCAGGCTGGTCTCAAACCCCTGGCCTCAAGTGATGCACTTGCCTCAGCTTCTCAAAGTGCTGGGATTACAGGTGTGAGCCACCACACCCGACTGGAGGAAGGATTTTTATGGAAGACAGCAACACATTCGGCTTTGTGCTGAGAAGCAGAGTGTAGAAGAAAAACAGTAGATACTGGAAAAGGAGTCAAAAGCCATATGGTTTAGGGCCCACAACAAGGATTCTGGCTTTCACTCTAATTGCAAAGAGAAGACAATAAAACATCTCATTTTTGTTAAAAAATCTTTTTTACACCAGGCATAGTGGCTCACGCCTGTAATCCCAGCACTTTGGGAGGCCGAGGCGGGAGGATCACTTGAGCCTAGGCGTTTGAGACCAGCCTGGGCAACATAGTGAGACCCCGTCTCTCAAAAACAAAAACAAACAACAACAACAACAACAAAAAAAAACAGAAGCAGCAGCTTGTGGAAGTGTAGAGTAGTGTAGAGAGAGATAACAGGGCCTTGCACTGGGCAAGCAACCATGGAAGGACACCTGCAGTTCATGGCAACAGGGTGGGCGTGGCTCTACAAGTAAGGGACAGTTGTGCCATATGGAATTACCTATATGGGAAGATTGGTAATTAACACACAGGGAAATCACCATGCTACTTTCTTCTATGATTTTGACTATTTTAGATTCTACGTGTAAATGAAATAATGCAGTATTTGTATTTCTGTGCCTTCTTTATTTCACTTAACATAATGTCCTCCGGGTTCATCCATATTGTCACATATGTCAGGATTTCTTTATTTTTTTAAGGCAGAATAATATTCCTTTGTGTATATAAACACATTGTGGCCGGGCTCGGTGGCTCACGCCTGTAATCCGAGCACTTTGGGAGGCCGAGGAGGGTGGATCACGAGGTCAGAAGTTCAAGACCAGCCTGGTGAAGATGGTGAAACCCCATCTCTATTAAAACTACAAAAATTAGCTGGGCGTGGTCGCGGGTGCCTGTAATCCCTGCTACTTGGGAGACTGAGGCAGAGAACTGCTTGAACCTGGAAGGCGGAGGTGGCAGTGAGCCAAGATTGCGCCATTGCACTCCAGCCTGGGTGACAGAGCAAGACACCGTCCCAAACAAACAAACAAACAAAACATTTCCTTTATCTATTCATCCATCAACAGATAGTTGTTTCCATATCTTGGCCATGGTGAATAATGTTGCAGCTAACATGGGAGTGCAGGTATCTCACGGAGTTTCACTTCCTCTGGATCTATAGCCAGAAATGGGATTGGTGGATCCTAATGTAGCTCTAGTTATAATTTTTTGAGGAACCTCTATACCGTTTTCTGTAATGATTGTACCAATTTACATCCTTTTGATAGTGGCCATCCTAATGGAGGTGCAGTGATTTCTCATTGAGTTTGGGTTTATATTTCTCTTATACCTAGAGATGTTTACCATCTTTTTATATGCTTGTTGCTCATTGCTCATTTGTATATCTTCATTGGAGAATTGCCTATTCAAGTCCTTTGTCCATTTTAAAATCAGGTTATTTGGTTTTGTTATTGTTGTTGAGTTGTAAAAGTTCCATATAAATCCAGGATACATTGCAAATCAGATATATGATATGTAAGCATTTTCGTCTATTCTGTAGATTGCCTTTGTTTCCTTTGATTAGCCAAAGTTTTTAAGTTTGATGTAGTCCCATTTGTCTATTTTTGCTGTTATCTGTGCTTCTGATGTCATATTCAAGAAATCATTGCCATCTCCAACATCCTGAAGTTTTTTCCCTTTTTACTTTAGTAATTTATAAAATAATTTGGTCTCACATTTAGGTTTTTAATCAATTTTGAGTTAATTTTTATGTATGGTGTACGGTCAGGGTACAGGCTCATCTTTTGCACGTGGAAATCCAGCTTTGTCAACATCTTTTGCAGGGGATTTTCCTTTCCCAATTGTGTAGTAGTTGTTTTCGTGCCGCCCACGCCATCCTGAAATTCACACACAGAGTTGCAAGTTACTGCCCTCCGGGAACCTCCCCTTCTCTTCCGAAGAACCAGGAACCCGGGGCTCTACAGCTCACCCGGGCCCTCTCATAGGTCTGGGCGCCTAACAGCTCAGCTGCGACCTCGCCTCAAACGCGTGGAACTACACTTCCCAGAAAGCCAGCGTCCTCCCGTGGACTCCATTTCCTAGAGGCCTTAGCGGCCGCCTTGCTCCTCTAGGTCCCAGGCGCTCTGCGGAGCTTTCGCTGCCCGGTGAGCGGCGCCGGGCTTGAGGTCGCCCAGACGTCGGAGGAGCCGGGTCACGAGGCTGGAGCTTCCTGCTTGCAGAGTGCGGCGGGGAGGCGCGGCCCGGGAACGCGGGATCCTGGGGAGGTGAGCGGCATGGCTGGCTGTGCCGGGAGGAGGCGGCGCCTGGCGCCAGGGCGACCTGAGGCCGCGGGGCTCCGAGGGCCTCTGTGGGCGCGGGGGGGCACCCCCGCGTCTGTCACCGGCCCCCGCGCCAGGACTTGGACTCTCGCCCCTCACGGGCCGCTCCGGTGCCGCTGCCGACGCCCCTGCCTCTGGCTCGCGCCGCCCGCCGTGAACGCGGGGCCAGGCGTTTCCTCCCGGGCCCACCCTGCGCGCGCCGTGTGGGCCTCGCGGACTCGGGGCGCCGGGACCCCGAGCGCAGGGCAGAGGCAGCCGGGCCCGGTTTCTGAGTCAGTCCCCAGGACGGCCACTCCTCCTGCCTCGGGACACCCAGCGCTTTCCTCTTCAAAGCCGTTTTCCGTGGAGTCGGGAGACGATTCGTTGGCGGGAGAGAGAGGAACCGGCTGGGAAAGGCTTGAGGCGGAGGGAAGTCGTCCCGGGGCCGTCGTGGTGGGAGTCCCGGCCCGCCTCGCAGCGGCGTGAACGGGGCAGGTGCCCCGGCGCTGCCTCAGTTTCCTGAGCGGTGCAGTGGGTGCTGGCAGTGCCAGCTGGCGCCGAGGAACTCAGCGGCGTGGGGCGAGCCCTGGCCCTGGTGGGCTCAGCGGGTCGCTGCTGCCACTGCGGGTCCAGCGTCCCCTCCGTAAGCCCCAAGCCTGTGGGGCCTGGGCCTGGCCGGGCGGCCCAGCGCTGCTCTGGTCCGCGGGCTCCTGGCTCCTCCCGAATCCCTGTGAGGGCGCGCGGGGTCCTTCTCAGCGGGAGTCGGGGTTTTAGAGCTGCGGATTCCAGGGCTGGAAAGCAGAAGGGGTTCTTCCTGGCTCCCTTTTTCTTCTCAGATCTGCCTTCTGGAGACTGCGCCGTCCTCCCGGGAGAGCCAGAAAGAGGACATGGCTGCTGGGCAGCGGGAAGCGAGGCCCCAGGTGAGCTCATTGCCCTCCCAGATCCCAGTGGATGGATTTTCCCCACTAACTGGAGTTCTTCACCCGGGACCATCTCCAGCCAGGATGGAGCCCAAGTCCTTTTCTCTTGGAGGAGCTGGTCCGCCCTCATGACTGGTGGATTCTGTAGGGAGGACCACCCACCCTCCCCACCCGTGTCTAGTGGTTTTTAATTAACAGTTTGTTCACGAATCTTCATCCATTGTGTGACTAGTTTGACAAGTAAGATACCACAAGTCTGTCTGTCACTAAGAGCAAACGTACACACGTGGGAAAAATCCCTGCCTCCTCCACTCACCCATGTCTCCGTTCCTGTCCTTCGCAGGAATACTTTCTCTTTTCACCCCTGAGAATCCTCATAACACCACCCCTTCCCCAGGCTTCTCCAACGCATCGTTGTTAGTTTTTTGTCCCTCTTAACTTTGTGAATCATATTCTTTGCTTGTATCACTGTCTTGAAATCTATTGTAGACCGTTTTCATTTTTGTGTAGTGGGAATGAGGAGGCCACCCTTTCTAGTTGAGACGAGAGTGAACAGAGTTGGAGAGGTCGCTTGACTCGCAGGACACAGAAGACCCCTCAGCTAGCGGCAGGAAGGGTTTCATGGGATAGCAATAGTGCAGAGGCAGCGTAGGTGGTAGTTAGGAAGTAGGGCTGTTAAGCCAGATGGCAGCGTTTTAACCCATCTCCTCTGTTGCTGTTTGTGGGCCTTGGGCTTCACCTCTCTGTGCCTCAGTTTTCTCACCTGTAAAATGGGAATAACAGCCGTGCCCACCTCCCAGCGTAGATGAAGGGATCACATGAGTTAGTGTGTGGAAAGTGTTCGGATCAGGGCTGGGCACTGAGTAGTTACTGCTCAGCATATGGTGGTTGTGTTTGCTGAGTGACATTATTGTCTTAATATATTAATGTTAATGTTGGTAGATAGAAACTGCTGTACAATGTGTTTAGGACCCAGACGATGTTATCCTTTATTCATTTTTTTATCTAACAATACTAATGTCCACCGAGTGTCTAGCATACCAGGGAATGGGCTGAGGGCTTTACATTTGTTCTCTCACTCGCACAGTAGCACAACAATTACAATTCTTGTTTTACATGTGAGGAAACTGAGGCTCAGAAAAGTTAAGTAACCTGAGTACAGTCCAAGTATGCCTGGCTCTGAGTTCCGTCGGACCACCCAGTCGTCCCTGTGGTGCGTCTTTCAGAGTATGGGCAGATGCAGCCACGCGATACCAGAGTGCTTCTGCAGCGTGGCATTATCTTTTTTTTTTTTTTTTTTTTTTGAGAGGCAGTCTTGCTCTGTCACCCAGGCTGGAGTGCAGTGGCGCGATCTCGGCTCACTGCAACCTCCGCCTCCCTGGTTCAAGCAATTCCCCTGCCTCAGCCTCCTGAGTAGCTAGGACTACAGGCATGTGCCACCACGCCCGGCTAATTTTTTTTTGTATTTTAGTAGAGACGGGGTTTCACCATGTTGGCCAGGATGGCCTCAATCTCCTGACCTCGTGATCCACCAGCCACAGCCTCCCGGAGTGCTGGGATTAAAGGTGTGAGCCGCCGCGCCTGGCGGCGTTATCTTTTAAACTAGCCAAGACAGTGGAGTGGGAGCTGAGGGTGTGGCCAGAACAGGCTATTGTGCATTTGAGCTGGTATTTGTCCTCGAAGGCATTCCTATTCCATTCTCACAGAGCCAAGCTGCTCTCCTGACTAGAACCTTCTCCATCCCTGTGTGTGGGTGAGTCTCTGTGGCATCCTTCCTGTCTGTTCTTGCTTGCCATGCGTCAGTAATGTGTAGACCTGTGTGTAAAATTCAGTGAAGGGAATTTTAAGACCAGAGAGTGCAGAGTTCACAATTAGAAAACCGGAGTTATGATCTTGCTGCTACCTCTAGCAAAGCACATGACCTGGGATCTTGGCTGCCCTGGACCTTGTGTTCTTGTCTCAGGGCTCTATGCAGATACACAGTGGTTCAAATTATTTCATGCATTTTCTAGTCCGCCAGTCAGATTATACATTCTTTGAGAACAAAGATCATGTCTTGTACTCTTCCCCAATATGCAGATAATTTGATGCTCTTTTTCACCATAAAAATATTGCAGGGTTATGGTGTAAATTTTAGAGAATAAAACATTTATATATATACATATGTATATGTGTGTGTATATATATGTATGTTTATGGATACGTGTGTATATATATGTGCATATGTATGTGTATGTTTATATAGTTGTGCATTGCATAATGACATTTTGGTCAATAAAAGACCATAAATGTGATAGTGGTCCCATAAGATTAAAACCTAGCTGAAAGATTCCTGTCTCCTAATGACTAAGTAGCTATTGTAACATTATAGTGCAGGGCTTTGCTCCTGTTTTGTGGTGATGCTGGTATAAACAGACCTACCATGCAGCCTGCCAGTCCTATAAAAGTATACAGCATATGCGATTGTACAGTTCATAATAGTTGATGATATCTGACTGTGTTGCTGGGTTATATATTTATTGTACTATTCTTGTTATTTTACAGTGTCTTCCTTTTGCTTGTTTTTTAAAAAGTTAACTGTAACAGCCTCAGGCAGGTTCTTTGAGAGGTATGCAGAAGAAAGCTTTGTTCTCATAGGAGATGACAGCTGCATGTGTGTCATTGCCCCTGAAGACCTTCCAGTGGGGCAGGGTGGAGAGGTGGAAGACAGTGGTGTTGATGCTGACCCGTGTAGGCCTAGACTAATGTGCATATTTATGTCCTAGTTTTTAACAAAAAAATTTTTAAAGTAAAAATAAAATTAAAAGCTTTTGAAATAGGAGAAAGCTTATAAAATAAGGATATAAAGAAAGAAAATATTTTTGTACAGCTAGACAATGTGTTTAAGATAAGTGTTACTACAAAAGAGTCAAAGTTTGAAAAAATTAAAAAGTTTAGAAAGTAAAAGTTACAGTAAGCTAAGGACAATTTGTTAAAGAAAACTTTAAAAAAATAAATTTAGTGTAGCCTAAGTGTACAGTGTTTAAAATGTCTACAGTCATGCACAATAGTGTCCTAAGTTTCACATTCACTCACTGCTTACTCAGCCAGGCGACTTCCAGTCCTGGAAGCTCCATTCATGGCAAGAGCCCTATACAGGTGTACCATTTCTTCTGTTTTATGCTGTAGCGTACCATGCCTTTTTTATGTTTAAATATATTTACATGCACAGACACTTAGCATTGTCTTACAGTTCTCTACAGTATTCAGTACGGTAACATGCTGTACAGGTTTGTAGCCTAGGAGTAACAGGCTGTACCATATAGCCCGGGTGTGTGGGAGGCCATACCATCCAGGTTTCTCTCTTATATTCCCATAATGATGAAATGGCTTAACAATGCATTTCTCAGAATGTACCTCCATCGTTAATGCGACACACGACTGTGTACTCTATATATTTCATATGTACAATAGAAAATAAAATCACCCTTAACCCCACCATCTGGAGATAATCACTGTCATTCAGTTTATTGAATGTTTCAATAGTTTTTTATGTATGTAGAAATTTTTTTTTTTTTTTGGAGAGGGAGTCTCACTTTATCACCAAGGCTGGAGTGCAGTGGTGCAGTCTCGGCTCACTGCAAGTTCCGCCTCCTGGGTTCAAGCAATTCTCCTGCCTCAACCTCCCGAGTAGCTGGGATTACAGGCACATGCCACCACGCCCGGCTAATTTTTTGTATTTTTGTAGAGACAGGGTTTCACCGTGTTGCCCAGGCTGGTCTCGAACTCCTGAGCTCAGGCAGTCCACCCGCCTCGGCCTCCCAAAGTGCTAGGATTACAGGTGTGAGCCACCACACCTGGCCAGAAACATTTTTTTGAATGGGGACAAACTCGAAACAGTGATATATAACCTGCTTTGTACTTAACATTTTCATGGATGTCTTTTTATGTCAACAAATAGCAATTTATACCATCAGCTCTAATGATTGCCTAATATTTGTTTGTATTAATGTGATAATAGCTGACATTGGAACCTTTAATGTGAGCCCGATATGGTTTTAAGTGCATTGTGCAGATGAACTTATTTCTTTATTAAGTATGTGGTAGATTTTGAGAGGCAGTTTTAGAGTACTTTTGAATGGAGCCCAGGACATCTGCCTGGATTGGAATCCCCGCTCTACCACTGAACAGCTGTGTGACTTTAGACGAATTTTTTTTTTCTTTTTTGAGATGGAGTCTCATTCTGTTTCCAGGCTGGAGTGCAGTGGCATGATCTCGGCTCAGTGCAATCTCTGCTTCCCGGGTTCAAGCGATTCTCCTGCCTCAGCCTCCTGAGTAGCTGGGACTACAGGTGCATACCACCATGCCTGGTTAATTTTTGTTATTTTTAGTAGAGACAGGGTTTCACCATGTTGGCCAGGATGGTCTCGATCTCTTGACCTTGTGATCCAGCCATCTCGGCCTCCCAAAGTGCTGGGATTACAGGCATGAGTCACTGCACCCAGCCAACTTTAAACAAATTGCTTCGCCTCTCAGTGACTTTGCTTTCTGTGATGTAAAATGGGAACGATAACTATTTTCTTCATAAGGTAATTGTGAAGGTTAGATACAGTATATACTAATGATTAATACAAAGCTCTAAATATAGTGTCTGGCCCATGTAAAGCATTCAGTAAAAGAGAGGTGTTCTGATTTTCATCATTATTATCCTCAAGCTTGAATCAGCACACAGGTAGTGCCGTAAGTTATTTAACCCAGCCTATATCAGTGAGTATTTAGGTTGTTTCCTGTTTTTTTTTGCTACTAACACCATGATAAGTATCCTTGTGCTTATATTTTTGTGCACTGTTTCTTACAGTAATTGGTGAGTTAAAGATTATACATAGTTCTAAGTTCTTATGTATTATAAAATTGCCAACGAAAGATTATTCTAATTAAGGGTCCCACTAATGGCCGTAATTCCTCTACCCATTTCTTACAGTGGCTGCACTAGGCCTGAATCTCACTGTGTGCTGCTCAGTATACATTTGTTACTGGCCAATTATTCATTAAAGGAATGACCTGGAACCTTCAGAAGCTTGAATAGTATGAGAAGTGTTTCACGGGTAGCGTGTCTTCCCCACTGCCGCCCCCTCCACTCTGTGAGGGTGGTCCTGGGTGAGCTGGAACGACTTGTCCTTACAGGTGTCACTGACATTCGAGGACGTGGCTGTGCTCTTTACCTGGGATGAGTGGAGAAAGCTGGCTCCTTCTCAGAGAAACTTGTACCGGGATGTGATGCTGGAGAACTATAGGAACCTGGTCTCACTGGGTAAGGAAATTTCCCCTCTAGAAACAGAATTCAAAAATTGGGATATCTCAGCACCTCCTTCCCTGAATAAAAGCAGTTGATCACTGAAAAATTTGAGCTCAGTTTGAGGATTGTACAAATCAGATCTCTGTAAATAAACATTGATAACTTAACTTTCTCCTAATAAGTATGGAATTGCTCTATGTCTTGGCGGGTGGGTATTGATAATTATCCCCTTCCTGCTGCACAATTTCACATTAGAAATTCTCTCATAGTTCAGGCAGCATTTTCCTGCTTTGGTTGTTCTGTGGTTTGTTTGCTCACCTCTCAGCAGAGGGCTTACCTCATCCTTCTTCATCGACCTACCATTGCCTTTCCCACTGCTCCTTTGCAGCCAGATGAATCTTGTAAAATCCATCTTCAAAAGGGAATCATACGATGTTTTCTCATTTTAAAAAAAGTTACTTGATAGATCATTCTATAGATGCCAGTTTATAAGTTTTAATTACATCATACATGCAACATTCCTTCTGTAGAAAAGCCACGGTTACCCTAATAATCAAGGGATACTTTGTTGTGTCAAAACGAAGACTGAGACTTTTGTTGTTGTTGTTGTTTATGTGCAGGACTCTCATTTACCAAACCAAAAGTCATCTCCCTGTTGCAGCAAGGAGAAGATCCCTGGGAGGTGGAGAAAGACAGTTCTGGTGTCTCCTCTCTAGGTAAGTGGGTGGCCCGAGGTGCTCGGGAATGGCCGCAGACAATGGTCTGGTTAATGAGAGGAGGTAGGAACATTGGTTGGGAAACTCCCTTGAGAATTCTCAGGCCTCAAGAAGTGGTGGGGAAGCGGAAGCCCAGGCTCTTAGGCAGGATTAGTCACTTGTAATCACTTCCCCATGAATCTCTCAGCATCTCTTTTCTTACTCTTTCCTGTTGTTTTAGAATAGGGCTGTATTTGCATGTATTCATTCAGCAAACATAGTATATTTAAGGAACTTCAAATAATCACTCTGGCTGAAGCTCAGGGTGTATTTGGGAAAGGAGGAGGTGAGGAAGGAAATAGCCTAGAAAGCTAGGGAAGGGCCGCGTAGTAAGTGCTTGGGCACAGTTGTAAGAGGTGGAAACTGTCCCATGGAGCACTGGAAATAATGGAAGGATTTGGGCAGGAATCATATGGTCCTTGGTATCTTAGAAAAGTTGGTGTGAATCAGAAACAGCTGAGTCTCCATCCGTGTAAGAACAGCTAAGGGACCTGTGGCGTGTCCTTACTCTGGTGAGCATCACCACCCTGAAAACAAGAGTCCAGGGACGTGGACAGAGCTCCCAAAAAGTTACAGAGCATTGTTGGGACGCCACCATTTATGTCTAATGAAAATTACATGTATGTGTAATGTGCACATAAGCAGAGAGAAAGGTTAGGAGGACACACCTTAGCTGGTGACATTAGTTACACTTGGAATGGGATTGAGAATGGGTCCATGGAAGGGGATGTTATTTACATGTAACATTTTAATTTTTCACAAAGAGAATATATTCATGACGTTGCTATGTGATTCGAATTTAATACAGATGGTCACTTTGGGAGTATCGTGATTGAAAGTGAGGCAAAACTAGAGGCAGGAAGCCTTGCAGAGCAATTGCAATCATGGAGGGAGGCAGGAGGTGGAAGGGCCTGGATGAAGGCACTTGCCGTGAGTTCGTGAGGGAGGAGGTGGCGCCCACGTGATCAGGGTACAGGAGCAGTTGGGTGTGGGATGGATTTCACTTGAGATGTGAGTGAAGTCGTCAGGTGGGGAACCCTGGTGGGCAGGTGTGTAAGTGACAGGGCCGAGACTCAAGGGAGGTCAGGGAGCCCATCAGCATGACGGGCATTAGAAGCTTGGAGCTGGCCAGGTGAGGGGGCCAAGTGGAGGCCCGAATTTCAGGAAACAGCATTTGCGAGGTGCTTAAGCAGGAGGAATCTGACAGAGCCCGAGAAGTAATCAGAGGAGAGAAACGGGGAGGGGCCATCGTGGCAGTGGGGGACTGAGAGTGGTTGAACTGGGGGGGCTCTGGCTCTGGGGGATCAAGGTTGAACCCTCGCCCACAGCTTTGTATAGCATTGGGCAGAAAGGGACACAGGTCTCCTGCTTCTGGAGTGCACGATCTAGTGGGGGACAAGGTGAACACACTCATTGCACACAAGGCACAGAAGGACACATTCCAGTGAGGACCACGTGGGAAAGACACTCGGTGCTGTGAGAGTGCAGAGCAGGCAGGTGGCATCAGCAAAGGCTTCCCTGTGGAAGGGCCTGGGATCAAAGGACTGAAGAATTGCTCAGGCCTAAAGAATGGTGTTTGTGGCCGGGCACAGTGGCTCACGCCTGTAATCCGAGCACTTTGGGAGGCCGAGGCGGGCAGATCACGAGGTCAGGAGATCGAGACCATCCTGGCTAACATGGTGAAACCCCGTCTCTACTAAAAATACAAAAAATTAGCCGGGCATGGTGGCGGGCGCCTGTAGTCCCAGCTACTCGGGAGACTGAGGCAGGAGAATGGCGTGAACCCGGGAGGTGGAACTTGCAGCGAGCCGAGATCGCGCCACTGCACTCCAGCCTTAGTGACAGAGCAAGACTCCAACTCAAAAAAAAAAAAAAAAGAATGGTGTTCGTGAAGGTCCAAAGAAGTAAAGCCAGTGAGGAGAAGGTAGAGCCAGGCACCGAAGAGAGCCGCGGGCCTTGTCATAGAGTTTGGTTGGTGCTTGAGAGCTAAGCATAGGCTCTGAGGAGCCATAAGTAGCCCAGGGCAGGCCCAGGCTGCATTCTGCAGCTGCCAGCGCATGTGAGGAACCTGACCGCCACAGTGCAGGGCTTGTCAAGTCCAGAGGGCTCAGTGATGGCCCCTTGTGCCACGGGCCCAGCGAGGAGCTGCACGGCAGGCAGCTTTGGTCCCCATAGCCCCTGTGCTGGGGAGAGCTTTCTCGTGATGATAGCTTGAACTTTTTTTTTTAAAAAGGGGAACCACACTTGTGTTTTTAATCTCCTTTGGTAGAAATACACTAATTTTATATTAAATTAAAATTTAATGAACTGCCAGAGACCACCACAAAGTAAGCCGAATGCAAGCAGCAGGGAACCAGGTGAGATTTAAGAGGGGCGTCAGTCTGGCCATTATGTGTGGGCCGAATCTTGTGTGGAAGAGCAGGAAGAAAGAAAGAGTTGTTCCCTTTCCCTTTAACTAGGGAGCACCTGATGGCTGAGTAAGTCTCCCCTCTAGAGAGAAGTATTAACAGGCTGAAAATATGACGAGTGCAGAGTTGTCCAGAGGGATGCCGGGCACCTGATAGTGTTGTCAGTCAGTCCCTTTTCAGATTGGGGAGGATGGCCCTGCGGGAAAACCCTGAGCAGTTGATTGAGTAAGAAAGGACGTCAGAGCTGTTTCCTGCCCGATTGCTCTTGGTGGGATGACCTTCGTCCTCCTTTTGTCAGATGGAAGTCAGATGGCATTCCTAGGGTGCTGACGTGCTTGCATCTCTGCTGCACCCCTGGTGGGGCTCCTGTCTGCCTGGACTAAGATTGCCCCAGGACAGCTTCCTTTTCCCATGAGTGCTCACTTCATTGAGAGCGTGGTTGAAGGACTGGGATGTTCCTGGAATTATCTCAGATTATTAACTCTAGCTCGAACCAAAAACTCAACCTGTAGGCTGGGTGAGGTGGGTCACGCCTGTGATTCCAGCACTTTGGGAGGCCAAGGTGGGAGGATCACTTGAGCCCAGGGGTTCGAGACCAACCTCGGTAACATAGACCCTGTCTGTGTTTATATAACTTTAAAAAAGAAAAAAAATATTTTAGACAAAAACCTACCCTTTGAACAGCCAGTGATAGAAAAACTTATGCTCCCCATGATAGGACTCTCTCGAACCTCCAGTAGCCTCAAAATATACTTGTACAAAGTTATTTTCTTTTGAGATGGACTCTTGCTCTGTTGCCCAGGCTGGAGTGCATTGGCGTGATTCTCAGCTCACTGCAGTGCCCTCCTCCCAGGTTTAAGCGATTCTTGTGCTTCAGCCTCTCCGGTAGCTGGGATCACAGGCACACGCCACCATGCCGGGCTAATTTTTGGCATTTTTTTAGTAGAGACCGCGTTTTGCCATGTTGGCCAGGCTGGTCTCGAACTTCTGACCTGAAATGATCTGTCCCCCTCAGCCTCCCAAAAGGCTGGGATTACAGGCGTGAGCCACCACACCCGGCCTGCTTTGTTTTCTTACTGCAAGAAGCCATCTTGGGTAGGCTGAATGGTGCAGGGTGGTGAACGGAGGGGTTGCTCAGCAAGGTTTGCTGAAGCAGCAACTGCACACAGGGAGGACTGTCTTTTCCTGATTTGCACAGGATGCTGTGGGGCTTAGCAACAGCCCTGATGACATGGCCTGGAATGTTTTAAAAAGTGACTGCTTACAAGATGGAAGTGTGGCCACAATGCCCTGTAGCCCTATTGCATTTTACTTGTTTTTGTAGAGATGGAGGTCTTGCTATGCTGCCCAGGCTGTTCTTTGAACTCTTGGCCTCAAGCAATCCTCCCATGTCAGCCTCCCAAAATGCTGGGATTATAGGCCTGAACCACCGCACCTACCCAGTATAGTCCGGTTTAATTTGTATGAGTTAGTCTTTTTCTTGTTTGCCAGCAAAGACTCGTACATATGCCCTGCCCCTCCCCTCCTACCAACATCTCTTCTCTTCATAACTTCCAGAATTATCTATTTAAAGAGTAAATCAACCATATTGCTTCTGTGCTCAAAATCTCCGTTGGTTTCCATCCCATACAGTATAGCCCAAAGTCCCCATCATGGCCTTCAGAGACCTACATGGTCTGGCCCTGGCTACCTCTTCACCCTTAGCTCCTTCCACTCTGCCCTTCATTCAAGGCCTCTGATCACCCTTGGCCGCCCTGCTGTTTGTCAGGGGGGCCAAGCAGGCCCCCACTCAGGGCCTCTGCCCTGCTTTTTTCTGTCTGGGACTGTTCTTCGTGGCAGTCATGCGTCCATGTGGCTCACTCACTTCCTTGTGCTGCACTGGCTTCGGCTCACACAGGCACAGATCATCTGACACGCAGCCCTGCAGCCCCCACGCCATCTCCTCACCGTGCTTTATTTTCCCTCTCCATGCTTAGCGCTGTGTAATAGACCTGTTTCTTCATGATCTGTCTCTGCCTCTGCATTGTAAGCTGCTGTAGGAGGGGTTGCCTCATTCATTCACTCCTGTTTTCCAAGAACCTAAAACAGTCCCTGGCCAGGGTAGGCGTCCAGTTGTATAATGAATGCACGAGTGACTTGGACTAGGTTAGTGGTGTTGGAGACAGAAAGAAGTGAACCAGTCCCAGAGATGTCCAGGAGATACAGCCAGCAGGACTTGGATTCGATGTGGAAGATAAACGAGATAGGGTTGTCAGGGATGCTTGTTTTGTTTCTGGTTTGTTCTGGGATGGCCGGTGTCATTCAATGAGATACTACCACTGGAAGGAGATTAGATTTGGAGGATGGTATGAGTTTGATATTTTTACTTTGCAGGGGAATTTTACTTTTTTTAGAAAATTTTTTATTTTAAGATAATAGTAGATTTATATGCAGTTGTGAGAAGTAGTATAGAAAGATTCTATGTCCCTTATACTCATTTCCAAAACCATAGTATAATACCACAACCAAGATACTGACATTGATACAGTGAAGATACAGAAAAATCCCTTCAGTCAGCACAGAGATCCCTCCTGGTATCCGTTTTTACACACACCTGTTTCCCTCTTGTTCACTGCCCCTGTTCCCTGCCTCTTTTCCTGAAGTCCTGATAATCACTAATGTGTTCTCCGTTCTATAATTTTATCATTTCAAGAATGTCATATACATGGAATAATAAAATGTGTACAACGTTATGGGATTTTTTTTTTTGCCCCACTTAACATAAATCTCTGGAAATTCATCTGTGTAGTTGTATACATCAGTACTTCATTTCTTTTAATTGCTGAGTCGTGTTCCATAGAGTATATCATAGTTTGTATAGCCATTCCCTTGTTGGACATCTGGATTATTTACAGTTTTTGGCATTTAAGTATAATGCTGTTATAAACATTCATGTGCAGGTTTTTGTGCAAAAATTAGTTTTTATTTCTGTGTGATAAATGCCCAGGAGTGGAATTGCTGAGTCATGGGGTAGTTGTAGGTTTAGTTTTTGAAGACATAGCCAAGTTGTTTTCCAGAGTGGCTGTGCCATTTTACATTTCACCAGTAGCATGTGAATGATCCAATGTTGTTACATCCTTGCCAATATTTTGCCTTGGTACTACTATTTATTTTAACCATTCTGGTAGGTGTATGGTGAAATACATTGTGATTTTAATTTGTGTGTTGCTAACATCTGTTGATGTTTGACATAGTTCATGTGCTTATTTGCCATTTGTATTTCCTTTTTTTTATTTTTTATTTTTTGGAGACAGAGTCTTGCTCTGTCACCCAGGCTGGAGTACAGCGGTGCGATCTCAGCTCATTGCAATGTCTGACTCCTGGGTTCAAGCAATTCTCATACCTCAGCCTCCCGAGTAGCTGGGATTACAGGTGCATGCCACCACACCCAGCTAATTTTTGGCATTTTTAGTAGAGACAGGGTTTCACCTTATTGGCCAGGCTGGTCTCAAACTCCTGACCTCAAGTGATTCGCCTACCTCGGCCTCCCAGAGTGCTGGGCTTACAGGCGTGAGTCACCACACCTGGCCTGTGTTTCTTATTTAATAAAATGTCTGGGTATTTTGTTCATTTTCTAGTTGAGTTATTTTGGAGTTTTTTACTGTTGAGTTTTGAAAGATCTTTATATATGCTGGATAGTAGTTGCCGGATATGTGGTTCACAAATGCTTTCTCTTACTCTGTAGTTTGTCTTTTTATCGTTTTTACTGGTTCTTTTGAAGAACACAATTTTTAATTTTACTGAGGTCCAGTTGATCAGTGTTTCCTTTTATGGATTGTGCTTTTGGTGTCAAATGTAAGAATTCTGCCTGTACTTAGATCATGAAGATTTTCTGCCATGTTCTTCTAGAAGTGCTGTAGTTTTACATTTTACATTTATATTCATGACACTTTTTGAGTTAATTTTTGTGTTAGATGCGAGGTTCATTTTTTTGCATGCGAATCTTCAGTTGCTCCATCATTATTTGTTGAAGTCGTCTTTCCTCTGCGGAGTTCTTTGGTGCCTTTGTCAAAAGTCACTTGGGCGTGTTGGGTTGTTTCTGGGTTTTCTTTTCTGTTCCATTGTTCTGTGTTTCTGTTCCTCTGCCAATACCACACAGTGTTGATTGCTGTATATATACAGGCTTTAATGTTGGGTAAAGTGATTACTTCTTGTTGTTTTTTAGAAAGTTTTATCTACTGTAGTTCTTTGTATGAATTTTAGAATAATCATCAATCTCTACAAAAAGAATCTTGCTGAGATTTTGATAGGAATTGCAGTAAACCTGTATATCAATTTTCTGTGTTTAGTCTTCCAATCTGTGAACATGATATGTCGTTCTATTTATTGAGGTCTTTTTTATTTTCTTCCATCAGTGTTTGTAGTTTTCATCATATGAGTCCTCTGTTTTTTTTTTCTTTTTTTTTTTTTGAGATGGAGTCTCACACACTCTGCTGTCCGGCAGGCTGGAGTGCAGTGGTGCGATCTCTGCTCACTGCAACCTCCACTTCCTGGGCTCAAGCAATTCTCCTGCCTCAGCCTCCTGAGTAGCTGAGATTACAGGTGTGCACCACTATGCCCAGCTGATTTTTGTATTTTTAGCAGAAACAGCGTTTCACCATTTTGGCCAGGCTGGTCTCGAACTCCTGGCCTCAAGTGATCCACCTGCCTCGACCTTTCAGATTGCTGGGATTACAGGCATGAGCCACCATGCCTGGCCCATTTCCTGCATTTGAATATTGGCCTCTCAAGCAAGGTTGGGTAAGTTTTCATGGACAATAGTATCCTGAAATGTGCTTTCCAAGTTACTTGCCTTCTCCCCACTTCTTTCAGGGATGGCAATGAGTCGTAGATTTTGTCTCTTTACATAATCCCTTATTTCTCAGGTTTTGTTCATTGGTTTTTATTCTTTTTCTTTATTTTTATCTGTCTATCTGGCTGAGTTCAGAGAGCCAGACTTTGAGCTCTGAGATTTTTTCCTCAGCTTGGTCTGTTCTGCATTTCAGTTGCATTATGAAATTCTTGTAGTATGTTTTTGAGCTCTATTAGATCAGTTTGGTTCTTTCTTATCATGGCCATTTTGTCTATCACCTCCTCTATTATTTTACTGTAATCCTTACATTCCTTGGATTGGGTTTCAACTTTCTCTTGAATCTTTATGATCTTTGTTCCTGTCCATGTTCTGAGTTCTGTTTCTGTCATTTCAGCCGCTTAGGAGCCCTTGCTGAGAAACTAGTGCAGTCTTTTGGAGGAAAGAAGACACCCTGGGTTTTTGATTTGCCAGAGTTCTCATGATGGTTCTTTTTCATCTGTGTGAGCTTAATGTTTCATTAACTGTGATGTAATTTGAGTATAGTCAGTTGACTTCTTTTTGAATGTTTTCAGAGGGCCAGTGTTTTATGCAGGGTGTTTATTTGTAGCTGAATTCTTGTCCTAGTTTCACAGAGGGGTATATTAGCAAAGTAATTTTGGTGTTAAAGTTTGGGCTGTGGTCTGGTAGATGGGCTTAAGTGTTATGGCCAGTAGGTAGGCTCTTACTCAGCTATGTGACTCCTCTGTATTTCCTCAAGATTGCAGCCGTGCCCCTCAGTGCTCTGAAAATGTGGGCTCCTCTCCCACTCGAGTGCTGGCTGCACATCTCAGCTTAGCATTGCCAGGCTGCCCACCATAGCTCTGGGGTGATCTTGGTTTATGTTCGCTTCCTAGCTTGGAGGCAACAGGGGAAGGGACTCCGGTTGGTGGTAGTTGTGGCAGAGAGCCTTTCACTTGTCTATGGGCCTCTACCCTAAAGAGATGCAGAACCACTGTCAATCAGTGCAGTCGGCCCAGGGTGGGTGACTGCCCTGTGCCCAAGATGGGGAAGGAGGCCCTGCCTGGTGAGGAGCAGGAGGAGCTGGCAGGGGAAGGGAGGTCACCAGCGAGACAGACTGACTGCTGCTTATGGCAACTGCAGCTTCCTGGAGGTACAGCTGAAGTACTCAGGGTTTTTGTTCCTTCCTCTGTCCAAGGGTAGCAAGGGCAATACCACTGCAGTGGCAGTGACAGAGGGACTTTCGGTTGCCTCTGTCAGCTCCACCTCAGAAACATGGAGCCACTGCTACTGGGAATCTTCAGCCGAGGGGCGAGGTGGCTACCCTGCTGGCCTGAGGTGGGGGATCTACTTGGTGAAGAGTCAGGGATTGGTTCTCACAGGGAGAAGAGACTGGGCTCCTGTCCATATGGTGACTGTGGCATGCTAGAAGCCCAGATGAAGGCTTCACTGTTTCTTCCCCAGACTGAGGGCAGCAGGTGTAGGACTGCTGCTGTGGCAGTGGCATAGGGGCTATCAGTTGCCTCTGGGAGTCCTTCCTCAGGGAAGACAGAGCCACTACCAGTGGGAATGCTCAGCCAGGGGAGGGACGGCTGTTCTGCTGTCCAAAGCCAGGGTCCCTGCCTGGTGAAGAGTTGGCTATGGGAGCTCACAAGGTAGAGAGACTGGGCTCATCTCCATATGGTGGCTGTAGTGTACTAGAGGTACCAGTGTAGCGACCGGGCCCTGTGTTCCTTCCCAACCCAAGGGTGGATAGTGTGGTACCATTTTAGCTATAGTGGTGGAGGGGCTATGGGTTCTCTCTCAGATTTCCTCCTCAGAGAAATGCAGAGCCACCTCCAACTGAAGCATTCAGGTAGGCTTGATGGTTGTGCTGGAGTCCCAGGTCGGGAGGCCCTGTCCAGTGAGGAGAAGTGGAAATGGGGACCCGTGTGGGGAACAGTCTGGCCGCGTTTTGTGAGGCAGCTGTGCACTTCCTGGAGTTCTGTTCCAGTCCCTAATCACTGTGCCCCCTCCAGAGCCTGAGGGCAACAGCAGTGAGGGCTGTGGCACAGCAAAAATAGCAGCCTGCCTCTCCCTTCGGGAGCTCTGACCTAGGGAAGTACAGAGCTGCTACTGGCCCGAGAGCCTAGGCAGGGCTGGTGTGACCATGCGAGGGTCCCAGGACGATGCATATTTCGGCCTGCTTGATGGCATCCTACATGGCCCTTAAGTTCTGTTCACTTTTTAAGTATTTTCTACTTTTTCTTCCTTAGACTCAAGGAATTTTAATTTTCCTATCTTAAACTTTGTTGATTTTTCCTATGGCCCGCTTAAACCTTTTGAATTTCCCTAGTGAAATTTTCATTTCAGTTATTATGCTTTCAACTCCTAGAATTTCCTCTTGGTTTCTTTTTGTTTTCTTTTTATTGATACTTCGATTTGTTCATTATTTTCATGAGTCATTCATATTTCCCTCTAGCTCTGAGCATCTTTATGATAGTTGTCTTTGTGTAGCATGCCACCATCTGGTCTTCTCCATAGATGTTTTCTATTTATTTTTTTCCATTGACTGAACCATACTTTCCTATTTTTTTATGCCTTTTTTTTTTTTTGTCTTACAGTGTTGCAACTCGGGATCAGATTTTCCCACTTCTGTAAGATTTGCTGGGTTTTGTTTTGTTTTGGTTTTTGTTTTCTTATTGCTGTAGGGTGGCACTAGTCCAGGAATTAGCCTGAAGTATAACCTGTAGGTCTTCTCACATTTTTTTCTGAGCCCACGTCTTTCCCTGGCCTTGTGCAGTGACTTTCTAAATTCCCCATGTGTGCAGTTGTTCTTTGTTTTGTTTTGTTTTGTTTTTGAGATGGAGTCTTACTCTGTCACCCAGGCTGGAGTTGCAGGGGTGTGATCTCAGCTCACTGCAACCTCCACCTTTTGGGTTTAAGCGATTCTTCTGCCTCAGCCTCCTGAGTAGCTGGGATTACAGGCACCCACCACCACACCTGGCTAATTTTTATGTTTTTAGTAGAGACAGGATTTCCCCATTGGCCAGGCTGGTCTCGGAACTCCTGACCTCAAGTGATCCGCCCACCTCAGCCTTCCAAAGTGCTGGGATTACAGGTGTGAGCCACCAGGCCAAATGTCCTTATCCTTAATGTCTGATTCCCCAAAGCAGAAAAAGAGGGGAACAGAAGGGGAAAAAAGTAGGCACTGTTCCTTAAATCCTCTGGAAGCCACATCAGGTCAGTGGGGATTGCAAAAATGGCAGCCTGCATTTGTGTTTGCACCTCCGTGATTCAAAGCAGTAATTTGCAGTCAGAACCCAGATCCCCATTATTTGGAGAACAAGGTCTTTATTGCCACTTTGGCCACCAAAGGCCACGCTAGGGATGCTAGTACGGCTTCAAGCCATGAGATGAGGAGATTGGAGATGGGTAGCTGCTGCCAACTAATATTAATTTCACTTGACTGGCCAGGCCTTCCCCTAGAAGCTACAAGCCTTCATATAGTTTCCAGAGTTTCAAAATAGTTGTATCAGACAGATTCTGACACCTCAGTTGTCTAGGTGGATAGATAGAACCTTGGTGCTTCCTACTCTACCATCTTCCCTGACATCTACTTTTTCTTTTACCTTACATTTATTTTGCACTTTTGGCATTTTCTGTCTTTAAGTATGTAAGTAGTATGCCACCATCTGGAGTTCTGATGGGGAGGTGCTACTGATGTCTATTGGGTAGTATGCTGAGGGTGAGGTCTTGCATAAAAGTCACAGTTAGGCCGGGCGTGGTGGCTCACGCCTGTAATCCCAGCACTTTGGGAGGCCGAGGCGGGCGGATCACGAGGTCAGGAGATCGAGACCATCCTGGCTAACATGGTGAAACCCCGTCTCTACTAAAAATACAAAAAATTAGCCAGGCGTAGTGGCGGGCGCCTGTAGTCTCAGCTACTTGGGAGGCTGAGGCAGGAGAATGGCGTGAACCCGGGAGGCGGAGCTTGCAGTGAGCCGAGATTATGCCACTGTGCTCCAGCCTGGGCAACAGAGCGAGACTCCGTCTCAAAAAAAAAAAAAAAAGTTACAGTTATGAAGTTAATTCTTATCATTTGGGGAAGAGATTTTGATAGGTTGCTTGTCACACATCCATCATTATCTTCAGCTACCCAGAAGGCTTTGTTTGATATTTACTCTTTAAATGTACATTTTATGGCACTTAACCTCGGTGCCCATTTAGGTCTCTTCCAAGTATACTTTCCTTTCTTTCCTGTTCTAAAGCCTTTTAAAATAAACTTCCACTCTTGCTCTGAAAAGAAATAAACATACATTTTGTCATTTGATAAATGTTTAAATTTTCCACTTGGAGGTTTTTTTGTTTGTTTTGTTTTGTTTTGTTTTTTTGAGATGGAGTTTTGCTCTTGTTACCCAGGCTGGAGTGCAGTGGCACAATCTCGGCTCACTGCAACCTTTGCCTCTTGGGTTCAAGTTATTCTCTGCCTTAGCCTCCCAAGTAGCTGGGATTATAGGCATGCACCACCACACCTGGCTAATTTTGTGTATTTAGTAGAGACGGGGTTTCACCATATTGGTCAGGCTGGTCTCGAACTCCTGACTTCAAATGATGCACCCGCCTCAGCCTCCCAAAGTGCTGGGATTACGGGTGTGAGCCACCACACCCGGCTGAAAGTATGTTTTTAAAGTATATATTTTTTAGGACCTTGTTGTTTGTGTGTGCTGCTTTTTTTTTTGAACTGGAGTCTCACTCTGTTGCCCAGGCTGGAGTGCAATGGTGCCATCTCGGCTCACTTCAGCCTCTGCCTCCCAGCTTCAAGCGATTCTCCTGCATCAGCCTCCCGAGTAGCTGGGATTACAGGCATGTGCCACCACACCCAGCTAATTTTTGTGTTTAGTAGAGATGGGGTTTCACCATGTTGGTTAGGCTGGTCTCAAACTCCTGACCTTAAGAGATCTCCCTGCCTCGGCCTCCCAAAGTGCTAGGATTACAGACGGGAGCCGCTGTGCCCAGCCTGTGTGCTGATTTCTTTGCAGAAACCAGAGTTGTTTTTGTTTTTGTTTTTTGAGATGGAGTCTTGCTCAGCTGCCCAGGCTGGAGTGCAGAGGCCCAATCTCGGCTCACTGCAATCAACGTTTCCTGGGTTCAAGCCATTCTCCCGTCTCAGCCTCCTGAGTAGCTGGGATTACAGGCACCCGCCATCATGCCCAGCTAATTTTTGTATTTTAGAAGAGAGGGGGTTTCACCATGTTGATCAGGATGGTCTTGAACTCCTGACCTCCTGTGATCTGCCCGTCTCAGCCTCCCAAAGTGCTAGGATTACAGGTGTGAGCCGCCGTGCCTGGCCCAGAAACCAGAGTTTTTAAATTGCAGCTTTCTTAGTAGGCATGGGCTATAAAAGGAAAAAGATTAACCCACTCACTCCTGTTACAAGGAAGGACAGAAAGTGGAAGAAAACTTCATTTTTAGTTTTGTTATGGAAAAGTTCGAGTATATATAAAAGTAGAGAGAATAGGCTGGGCGTGGTGGCTCAAGCCTGTAATCCCAGCACTTTGAGAGGCCAAGGTGGGTGGATCACGAGGTCAGGAGATTGAGACCATCCTGGCTAACACGGCAAAACCCCGTCTCTACTAAAAATACAAAAATTAGCTGGGCGTGGTGGCATGTGCCTGTAGTCCCAGCTACTTGGGAGGCTGAGGCAGGAGAATGGTGTGAACCCAGGAGGTGGAGGTTGCAGTGAGCTGAGATCACGTCACCGCACTTCAGCCTGGGCGACAGAGCGAGACTCCGTCTCAAAATAAATAAACAAAAAAGTAGAATAATATAATGACTTCCCATGTATTCGTCATCCAATTTCTTTTTTTCCTTTTCTTTCTTTTTTTTTTTTTAGACGGGGTCTCACTCTGTTGCCAGGCTTGAGTGCAGTGGCACGATCTTGGCTCACTGCAACCTCTGCCTCTTGGGTTCAAGTGATTCTCCTGCCTCAGCCTCTTGAATAGCTGGGAGTGTAGGGGCACGCCACCACACCCAGCTAACTTTTGTATTTTTAGTAGAGATGGGGTTTCACTGTGTTGGCCAGGATGGTCTCGATCTCCTGACCTTGTGATCTGCCCACCTCAGCCTCCCAAAGTTTTGGGATTACAGGTGTGAGCCACTGCACCCGGCCTCCTCTTTTTTTTTTTTTTTTAAAGACAGGGTCTCTTTGTCACCCTGGCTGGAGTGGAATTAGATAATCATGGCTTATTGTAGCCTCCTGGGCTCAAGTGATCCTCCTGCCTCAGCCTTTTATGTAGCCAGGACTGCAGATGAGTGCCACTATGCCCAGCTAATTTATTTTGTTTGTTTTAGAGATGGGATCTTACTGTATTGCCCAGGCTGATCTCGAACTCCTAGGCTCAAGGGATCCTCTTGGCCTCCCAAATTGCTGAGATTAAAGGAAGGAGCCACTGTACCTGTACCCAGCCCATCACCCAATTTCAGTAGTTGTCAACTCATGGTCATTTTTTTTTTTTTTTTTTTTTTTTTTTTGAGATGGAGTTGCACTCTTGTTGCCCAGGCTGGACTGCAGTGGTGTGATCTTGGCTCACTGCAACCTCTGCCCCCAGGGTTCAAGTGATTCTCCTGCCTCAGCCTCCCTAGTCACTAGCATTACAGGCGCCCGCCACCAAGTCCAGCTAATTTTTGTTATTTTTAGTAGAGACAGGGTTTCGCCATGTTGGCCAGGCTGGTCTCAAACTCCTGACCTCAGGTGATCCACCTGCCTCAGCCTCCCAAAGTGCTGGGGTTACAGGTGTGAGCCAGCACGCTTGGCCAACTCAAGATCATTTTTGTTTCATCTGTTCCAGTGATTATCTACCAGGACTGATTCTGTCATTTGTCAATGTCTTGAAAGATTTTTGCTTGTCGCAAGCCTGGAGGGAGGAATTGTGAGGGGCAGGTGCTATGATGTCTGTTGGGTGGAGATCAAAAGTATGCTGCTAAACATTCCACAATGCACAGGGCAGCCCACCCTATCCACACAACTAAAAAATCAGCCCAAAATGTCATCTGAGGTTGAGAAATCCTTATCTGTATCTTGTCTTAATGCACTGACATTTGTATAATGTTATTACATCCAAGAATAGGAGAGGTGATTATTTGTTCAGATATACTTTAATGTCATTCATCTGATATACTTTAATGTCATTCAAGACTGGTATAAAATTTCCCTTATATAGATTTTTCATATTACTTGTAAATTTACTGTGATTCTTAGTATAAATGAAGGCTATTGATTTTAATATGTCAATTTTATATCCAGCTACTTCAGTGAGTTTTATCATTCATTCTCTGGACTGTTTTTTTGAGATGGAGTCTCGCTCTGTCACCCAGGCGCAATCTCGGCTCACTGCAGCCTCCACCTCCCAGGTTCAAGCAATTCTCCTGCCTCTGCCTCCCGAGTAGCTAGGATTACAGGCGTGCGCCACAATGCCCAGCTAATTTTTGTATTTTTAGTAGAGATGGGGTTTCACTGTGTTGGCCAGGATGGTCTCAATCCATTCTCTGGACTTTTTAATATTATCTGCAAATAGAGGTAGTTTTACTTTCTCTTTACTCATATCTAATTGATTTATATTGCCTGATTGCATTGGTTAATATGTCTAGTACAGTGTTAAATTGTAGGGAAAATAATGGGTGTCTTTGCCTTGTTCTTCAGCATAGCAGAAATAGCTCTAGTGTATTTAATAGATACTAGCTTTAGGACAAAGGTCTATGTATTCTATTATGTTGAGGAAGTATCCCTCAGTTCATTTTTGCTTGAGTGTGTTTATTGTCTGTGGTGCTGAATTTTGCTGAACATTTTCTCAGCATCTCTAGATGTGTATTATTCCTTACTTAAATGCATTTAATGTACTATAATAAGTGCTATAATAAGGGGAGTGAGTTGTTGGAACTCAAAGTTAGGAAAAGGTACACAGAGGAGTTAACATTTGAACTGAGTCTGAAGGATACAAAGGAGTTCAGAATGTAGGAAAAGGAGGGAAGACATTCAGGAGTATAAATAATTACAGGAATGGGGTAATTTATGAGTCCATCATAGGCTTTGGGTACTAGATTATATTTCCTAAATTCATATGCCTCCTCCTCCTCTGATCCTTCTGCTCCATTCTCTTGGTCACTCTTACACACTCACCCGCCTTAACTGAGTTTGTTTTATTCATTTGTTCACTTATCAGTTCAGCTGTCATCCATTATTTTATATAGTGTTTTTTAGAATTTTATCCTCTTTTAGTCATATAGCAAACCCTTACTGAGATACAATTAATCCCTTCTACACATTTAGTCTCAGCCAATCACATGAATCATGGGCTGTTGCTTTCTTTTTTTCTTTTTTCAGGATGTAAGAGCACACCTAAAATGACAAAGTCAACTCAAACTCAGGATTCATTTCAGGAGCAGATAAGGAAAAGATTGAAAAGGGATGAACCCTGGAACTTCATATCAGAAAGATCCTGCATATATGAAGAGAAATTAAAGAAACAGCAGGACAAAAATGAAAATTTACAAATAATTTCAGTTGCCCATACAAAAATCCTTACTGTAGATAGAAGCCATAAAAATGTTGAATTTGGCCAAAACTTCTACCTGAAATCAGTCTTCATTAAGCAACAGAGATTTGCTAAAGAAAAAACTCCATCAAAATGTGAAATACAAAGAAATAGTTTCAAGCAGAATTCAAATTTACTTAACCAATCAAAAATCAAAACAGCAGAGAAACGCTATAAATGCAGTACATGTGAAAAAGCCTTCATTCACAATTCATCCCTTCGTAAACATCAGAAAAACCACACTGGAGAAAAATTATTTAAATGTAAAGAATGTTTAAAAGCTTTCAGCCAAAGTTCTGCTCTTATTCAACATCAAAGAACTCATACAGGAGAGAAACCCTATATATGTAAAGAATGTGGGAAAGCCTTCAGCCATAGTGCATCCCTTTGTAAGCATTTAAGGACCCATACTGTGGAGAAATGCTATAGATGTAAAGAATGTGGTAAATCCTTCAGTCGAAGGTCTGGGCTTTTTATACATCAAAAAATCCATGCTCAAGAAAATCCCCATAAATACAATCCAGGCAGGAAGGCATCCAGTTACAGCACTTCCCTTTCTGGAAGTCAGAAAATTCATCTCAGAAAGAAGTCCTACTTATGTAATGAATGTGGCAACACCTTTAAGTCTAGCTCATCCCTTCGTTATCATCAGAGAATTCACACTGGAGAGAAGCCTTTTAAATGTAGTGAATGTGGGAGAGCCTTCAGCCAGAGTGCCTCTCTTATTCAACATGAAAGAATTCACACCGGAGAAAAGCCCTATAGATGCAATGAATGTGGGAAAGGCTTTACTTCTATTTCACGACTTAATAGACACCGAATAATTCATACTGGAGAGAAATTGTATAATTGTAATGAATGTGGTAAAGCCTTAAGCTCCCACTCAACACTTATTATTCATGAGCGAATTCATACTGGAGAAAAACCATGTAAATGTAAAGTATGTGGAAAAGCCTTCAGACAGAGTTCCGCTCTCATTCAACATCAGAGAATGCATACTGGAGAAAGACCCTATAAGTGTAACGAATGTGACAAAACATTCAGGTGTAACTCATCGCTTAGTAATCACCAGAGAATTCATACTGGAGAGAAACCATATCGATGTTTAGAATGTGGGATGTCTTTTGGCCAAAGTGCAGCTCTTATACAACATCAGAGGATTCATACAGGAGAAAAACCCTTTAAATGTAATACATGTGGAAAAACTTTTAGACAAAGCTCATCACTTATTGCACATCAAAGAATTCATACTGGAGAGAAACCCTATGAATGTAATGCATGTGGGAAACTCTTTAGCCAGAGGTCATCCCTTACTAATCATTATAAAATTCACATTGAAGAGGACTCCTTAAAAGCCGATTTGCATGTGTGAAAGCCTTAAACCAAAACTCATCAGAGAATACATGCTTGAGAGTGATTTATTAAATATAATGAATATGAGAAAACTCTTAGTTCTCATCAGATACTAAGTTTTAAGAATAAACTTTAGCTATGTAATAACTTATGGGAAAAGCTTTTATACTTGTCACTCACTTTTTAAAATATCCCGAGACAGTTCACTGTTGCAGACATTGAAATTGGCCATTTGTAAGATAAAAGGTATGTTTATAAAATCTCTTTATATAATATATGCTATCTATGACATGCAAAAAAGAAAAGTCTGGGTGCTGAGGTGCTGAATTTTTCATTAGAAAAACATTTGTATAAACTACTATTATATAAATATAAGCATATTTATTACAGCAAACATTTTAATAGCAAACAAAACAATTGATCTTAAAAATATATGCAATATATACTTACCTGGCAGGGAAGATTACCATGATCACGAAGGTGGTTTTCCCAGGGCAAGGCTTATCCATTGCACTCCAGATGTGCTGACCCCTTCAATTTCCCAAAATGTGGAAAACTCAACTGCATAATTTATGGTAGTGGGGGACTACATTCGCACTTTCTCCTGAAATATATATATATATGCAGTATTAGAGCAAAGGACCAATAAGAGATAAAAACTAACTGAACTACCTCTTAGTGCCTGGAATTTACCTTTTCCTGACTTACTGTCAAACTTCGTGCATGGCTTTTATTAAAAAAGAAAAAATCTGTTCTCTTCTTTGTTGTAGTCATGTCCAAACAACATCTAATAGCCTCCCATATTTTCTATACATTTCCTAGTTTTGTTTTCAGAATTTTTTCTTTATTGTCTTGAAGTCATATTTATTATGAAACCATACTTGCTATGCTCTGAACAGTAATGTTAGATAGTTTAGGTTGAAGCATTTTGTTTGTTTAGGCAATCACTTCAAGGTTAAAGCTATTAATATTTTTTTAGTTGGCTGCAGATGAAATCCTAATTGTTTAAAGAGCCTATCACTTGTGACAGTCTTCAGAAGGAATCAGTTTATGAAATAAAAGTTTTTTTTCCTCGTGGGGTTTTAAAAGTTTCAGACTGCAAAGGAAATTCTTTAAAAATAATTGTAAATTTCAAAACTGATTTACTTAGAAATGTTTGTTTAAGCCTGAGTTTGGGCCAGATATTATCCTGAGCGCTAGAAATTGTATAGAAGAAAGAAACAGACCTTAAAGAAGTCATGAATTGAGTGGGTGGAGAAGAGGAGGTTAAAGGGAGTAAGCAAATCATAATGTGTTGGGGTTTTCACAGATAAATAGTTAAGCTGTGATGCTGTGTTGCAGAATACAAATGGAGAGATTTGCATGGGATGCAGAAATATGGAAGACTAACCAAGCAGACCAGGAGAGACCAGCAATAGTGTCCCAGAGACCATGATGTCTGAGCCCAGTTTTGGAAGAATAGTAGGTATTCTTCATGAAGTGAGATCCTGAATAGAGGGAGCCACATATGCAAAGGTGTAGGGTGGGTGGGTGACAGCATATTACATTTGTAGAGAATCTATAGGAAGTAATGAAAAAGAAAAGCTTGAGAAGAAGGCAGTGGCTAGGTAACAAAAGGTCTTACTTGCCAAACTAAGGAATTTGAATTTTATTCTGAAATTTAGGGTACTAAGTAACGACTTTAAGTGATGGAAACTGTATTGCACGAATGTGTAGAGGATGAATTTAGGAGATTGAAGACTGCTGAACAGACTGAAGCCTAGAATT
The DNA here is from genome assembly GCF_000001405.40 of Homo sapiens. Taxonomy (NCBI): domain Eukaryota; kingdom Metazoa; phylum Chordata; class Mammalia; order Primates; family Hominidae; genus Homo; species Homo sapiens. The sequence goes on from NC_000005.10 coordinate 178,886,040, forward strand.
CAGCCTCCAGTGATGGGTGAAGGAGGCTCTAAGCTCAAGCAAGGATAGTCAGTGAAGAATATGTTGCACATGCTAATGTAGTAAGAATAGATAAGGCATAGTTTTTGCAATCAAATAATTGGGGAAGGTGATTGACACACAGGGTAGATTAACTTTACCTGGATGGATGGTGGTGTGATATGCCTTGTAGGCAATATAGGGGTAAACAGTTTGATTTTATACATGTTAAATGAGTCATCCAAACCCAAAAGGTCAATTTGAGCTGGATGGCTTGAGTTAGGAGTAATTAAGATATAGTTAGTGAAAAGCTTGGCACATGTAAATTGGCCATGAGAATGTACAGATTAGAATGAGAAAGGGATCATGGATACAACCCAGGAAAACATCAATATACAAGAAGTAGATGAAGGAATTGTGCAAAGATGAAAAGGAATGGCCCTGTATGTAGGAGAAAAGGCAGAAGAGTGATGTCACTGAACCCAAGGGATAAATGAATCTCAGATGGGCAGTAGTGTCAGGTGCTATAAAGGAAGTAATAAGGAGAGTAAATTGGTAAATGAGATAATTGTAGACTTTGGCAAGAGAAATTTCACTGAAGGAGGGTGAACAAGTAGGCTGTTGAAGACTATTTCAAATATAATTGAAGGGAAGAATGACTTAGGGACCATTTCTGGTTTAATAATGTATGCACATGTTGAGGGTAGATTAAAGAAGACATTGCTGGGAGGAACAACTTTTGTGAAATAAATTGGAGTCATAGCATAGGTGGAGGAATTAACCTTAATTTCAGGGATGGAAAAGCCCACATAAAGAAGGGAATACAGATAAGTGATTTGGAGGTGAAGGAATTTTCTGCCTGCTGACTCATTTTCTCTAAGGAGAAAGACTTCATTTTTTAAGAGTCTCAATTTGGATATTTGAGTGCTTAATGATATTAAATTAATGAGTTTCAATCCTTGTCCTGGAGGTTTTTTGGGAAGTCAAGGCTCTTGAGTTTTATTTCCTACCCTTGTTTCTATAAGAAAGCTCCATGTTTGTCAGTTTCATGTATTTGATAGTTGTTATTTTTAATTATAAGGAAAAAATTTGCTGGTGAATTAAAGTTTGAAAACTACTCAGGGAGGGAGAGAAAATGCTTTTTAAAAAGTGGTAAATCTGAGGAGACTGCAAAGAAATGTCAGAGTTCAACAGGCATGTGGAGGTAGATGGAAAGGCATTCCAAATTGGAGAAAAGCTTGAGCAAGGCAAGGAGGCATGACGTGTTCATGGTATTATTGCAAATTGTATTTTAAAACTTCATTCCTGTTTGTTCCTAGTATATAGAAGTATAATTGGTTTTTGTATATTGACCTTGTATCCAGCAACCTAGCTAAATTCACTTATTTCTAATAGCTTGCTTGTAGATTTTTTTGGATATTTTACACATAATGATAATCTAAATAATTTCCATTCTGTTTCTCTTTTCCAATCATAATACATTTTATTTTTCTTACATTATAGCACTAGTACAGGCCAGTACATTGTTGAATAGAAATGATAAGTATATTTCTCTATTTAATATTATGTTAGCTTTCTTTCCAGGCTGGGCATGGTGGCTCACACCTGTAATCCCAGCACTTTGGGAGGCCAAGACAAGAGGATTGCTTGAGCCCAGGAAGGAGTTGGAGACCAGCCTGAGCAACAACAACAACAAAATTAGCCAGGCATAGTGGTGCACATCTGTAGTCCCAGCTACTTGGGAGGCTGAGGTAAGAGAATTGCTTGAGCTCAGGAGGTTGAGGCTGCAGTGAGCTGTGATCCCACCACTGCACTCCAGCTTGGGGAAAGAGCAAGACTCTGCCTCCCCCACATGCGCCCCCCCACCCCTGCCCCTGCCAGAAAAATTGTTTGTGGATCCCTGTTATCAGAATAAGGACATTCCCTCATATTCCTAGTGTGATGTGAGTTTTTATCATAAAAGGGAGTAGTATTTTGTCATGTCCATTTTCTGCATTGGTTGAAATGATCATTTTGTTTTTCTCTTCATTCTTTTAATAGATAATTGTTTGAATTTTGGTGTTAACCAATGTTTCATTCCTGAAATAAATTCTACTTGGTCATGATATATCATCATGTATGTGTATATGTATATAAGATCAGGTTTCTTCCTTAGTAAACAGAAGCCTGATGAAGTGCCCAACGTTGTGTTCTAAGAACTTAGAGCAAAAGGAAATTATCCAAGTCTCAAGGAAAGATGTAATAATACATGGAAATGAGGTACTCTTGGAAGGCAAGGCCTGGGAGCAAAAGGCTCAGAGGAAGAATAAATCTAGCATTTGTAGGGACCTGTAGGGAGACTGGCTTTGCTGGTGTAGAGGGCTCCTGGTAGGATAAAATAAAAATATTTGAAATGAAAGCTACAGTTACCCTGTCAGAGACTTTGAATGCTGTCTAAGACTGTAGGAGTTTGGATATGATGATGGACATATTAATTCACTATATTTCTGAGGAGCAAATGACCAATTTGAGACTATTTTAGGAAGAATTATCTGATAGAATAGATGATTCAAAGATTATTTGATCATTTCTGATTATGATCAAATGATTCAAAGATTATCTGATCATTGAGAAACTGAAGGACTGATTGTTGGGAGTAGGTCTTTGGGCGAGTCTGTGAGAAGAGTTCTTAATGAGAACTAAAAAGGTTATTTCTGTTCTTGGTGTCCCAAACTGCTCTGGTATTTTGCCAAATACTACAGATAGTAAAATTCTTAATTAAAGCTGACATGGTTATATTTTTAAAAATTTAGGTGCAATTAGTCTTTCAAGATCAGAAGATATTTAGTTAGTATCATAGTTCAGTCTGTTCCAAGCTGTAAAGTCAGTTATTTCAGTAATGTAATTTCTAAGATCTATAAAAAATGAAAATATTTTATTTTCTTATATAACTTTCTGTGAGAGCATTGAACAGTCAAGAAACTTGTATGTTTTCCAGCCCCCATTCTGCTTCAAGTTACATGGTGTCTAGCCTTTTCAGCTCTAGAAATTCTACATTATTATGTAATATCCTGCTTTATGGGTCTTGGTGGTATATGGTATAGATCAACTCAAAATTTAAAATTTTCATCGTATGAATTTTTGTGTAGAGATTTCAAGATGAGTTGATCTGAGAACAAAAAGAACTCCAAAGAAATCTTACTATTTTCCTGTTGGTATATATTGTTCAATAAAACACTATATTGGTATATATTGTTCAATAAAACACTATATTGGTATATATTGTTCAATAAAATAATTATGTATTACGAATTAAATTTTCAACCTAAAAATCAGATTATTCCAGGAAGATGGAATAGACAGATGTACCTTTCCTTATTTATCCCATACATCTGAAACCTTGTATATTATAAATAAACATAAGACTCTGGTGAGTCTTTTTTTTTTTTTTCCTTCAAGACGGTCTTGTTCGTTCCCAGGCTGGAATGCAATGATGTGATCACGGCTCACTGCAGTCTTGACCTCCGAGGCCCAAGTGATCCTCCCACCCCAGCCTCCAAAATAGCTGGTACCACAGTCCTGTACCATGCACCACTGTGCCTGGCTATTTTTTTTTGTAGGGGTGGGTTTCCCTATGTTTCCCAGGCTCCAACTCCTGGGTTCAAGTGATCCTTCTGCCTTGGCCTCCCAAAGTGCTGGGATACAGGTGTGAGCCACCATGCCTGGCCAGTGGTGATTCTTTTTGCCTCATATATCCCAGACTTGGAGCTGAAGAAGATGGAAAACCCAGAAACACCAACAGAGACCCACCAAAAAAGGAAGCTCTAAGAAAAGTCTACTGTCTCTACTCAAAGGACCAGGAATTGGGCAGTTTAGCAAGTTCTGTCTAGCAAGACAGAAAACTTTAGACAGCCACTCTACTTTGGTCACACAACCAGATAAAGCTGCTCCCATGACTATACACACCAGCAAAAGCCAAGTGGGAAGTCTAAACTTCTGCCCTTGTAAGGATGAAAAGAAGGCTCATAAAACCCCTGCTGGGTGGTATCAGAGAGTGCCAAGAGCTAGGTTATTCATCCACACTGGCTGGTAATGAGCACCTGCCCCATGCCAGCAATAATAGCGGGGACCATGTGCAGAAAGGGCTGCTATCCCCACCCAGTAGGAAGAAGGCATCATTCCCCTTTTCTGGTAGGTTGGTGTTAAGTGGAGGCCTAGTGCAGAGTAAGACCATTTACCCCTGCCCAGCAGTAATCAGACCACATTCCAACCCCACAGTGTCATTGGAGGCTACATAGGGAGCAGGAATAAGTCACACTTAATACCTCCCAACCATAGTTATATCAGTGTAGGCCTAGTAAGCTCCCAGAAATTTCACCCACACAAGTAAAATGGAGACCCTTATGTGGTATCTAGATACGTCAAATGAGGAACATGAGCTTCTAGTCCACCTGGTCAAATAAGATTCAGAGTTTCATAACATAATACTAAAAATGTTCAAGTTTCAACAAAAAATCATGTCAAGATCCAGGAAGATCACTTGAATGAAAAATGACAATCAGTAGATACTAACAAGTTAATGATAGACATGTTAGAATTATCTGACAAAGATTTTTAAGTAGCCATCATAAACGTTTCAAAGAGCAATTATGAAAATATTTGAAATAAAAACTCTCAGCAAAGAAGTGAGAAAGAAAAAATGGAAATTTTAGGCTGGGCGTGGTGGATCATGCTTGTAATCTAGCACTTTGGGAGGCTGAGGCGGGCAGACCATGGGGTCAGGAGTTCGAGACCAGCCTGGCCAATATGGTGGAACTCTGTCTCTACTAAAAATACAAAAATTAGCTGGGCATGGTGGTGCGCACCTGTAGTCCCAGCTACTCGGGAGGCTGATGCAGAAGAATCACTTGAACCCGGGAGGCAGAGGTTGCAGTGGGCCAAGATCGTGCCACTGTACTCCAGCCTGGGCAACAGAGCAAGACTCTGTCTCAAAAAAAAAAAAAAAAACAAAAAAAAAACGGAAATTTTAGAACTAAAATACAGTAACCAAAAATTTTAAAATTCACTGCATAGGCACAGCAGCAGAACTGAGAGGACAGAGGAAAGTATCAGTGGATTTAAAGATAAAGTAGAATTTACTCAGTCTTAAATACAGAGAGAAAACAGACTGGAAGAAAAGCAGAGACTCAGGAATCTGTAGAATTGTAATAAAAGATCTAACAATATAATCAGAGTTCAGGGGAGAGAGAGAAGAAAAAGTGGGCCTAGAAAATCTTTGAAATATTAATGGCTGAAAATTCCCAAGTTTAGCAATAGGTATGAACCTATACATTCAAGAAGCTGAGCAAACCTCTAGAAGCATGAATCCAAGGAATCCACACCAAAACATATCACAGTTCAACTTCGGAAAACTAAAAGAAAATCTGGAGGCTAGGCTGGGCTTGGTGGCTCACTCCTGTAATCCCAGCACTTTGGGAGGCTGAGGTGGGCAGATCACAAGGTCAGGAGATCGAGACCATCCTGGCTAACACGGTGAAACCCTGTCTACTAAAAGTACAAAAAATTAGCCAGGCGTGGTGGCAGGCGCCTGTGGTCCCAGCTACACAGGAGGCTGAGGCAGGAGAATGGCGTGAACCTGGGAGGTGGAGCTTGCAGTGAGCCGAGATTGCGCCACTGCACTCCAGCCTGGGGGACAGAGTGAGACACTGTCTCAAAAACAAAAAAACAAACAAAAAAAACACTGGAGGCTAGAGAGAAAAATCACAGTTTACCTATAGGGATAAAAATCTAATGAAAACAGATTTTTCACTTAGAAACCACAGAGGCACAACATTTTTCAAGTACTGAAGTAAAATAAGTTTTAACCCAGGGAAATGACATCGGCAGAATAGGAAGCCCTAGTCCCTTGTTCTCCCACAGACACATCAGCTAAACATCAAACTACAAATTGCTTTTGTGAGAATTCTAGACACTAAGAAGTTGTAGCACGCCAGGTGAGTGCAAGGACAGAGACACATCAAAATGGTAGAAAATTTTTGACATTTTACCCACCCTAGCCACTCCCACTGCCTAGCGTGGCAAGGTGTGATCAGGAAAAAAACACTCAGCTGCCAGTTTTTCCCTCAGGAGGGAAGAAGAGTGGGCTGTGCATCCAGTGTTTTAGCTTTTCATGGTGCTTTCCAAGGGCATGGTTTGTCTCATGAGACTCAGAGTACTGACTGGAATTAGTAGTTTGGATGCTAGATTGGGGGCTGCTGAGAACAAAGGTGAGCACTGGAGCTTGTTACATCACCAGAGAGACTGTAATACTGCAGACAGCAAGGGGAACAAGAGGTTACAATCTCTAAAGAAGAAGCAGGCAAAAACCTCATTCTGTGCACAAGCCCAGAGAAGTAGCATCCCCAGAAAAAGTTTGAGACAATCCCAGAATCTCTAGTTGTGCTAAATGATGACGGTCTTCTTTTACACAAAGCCAATCCTTAGAGACTGCTGGAGGGGACTGTTTTTTTCAAGTGGTCAAGTCTCAACAAAAGATCACAAGGCTGTAAAGAAAGAGTGAAACACATCCCAATAAAAAGAAACTAACCTCCAGAAACCAACCCTAAAGAAATGGAGATCTGGCCGGGTAAGGTGGCTCATGCTTATAATCCCAGCACTTCAGAAGGCTGAGGCGGGGGGATCACTTGAGGTCAGCAGTTTGAGACCAGCCTGGCCAACATGGTGAAACCCCATCTCTACTAAAATTATGTGAATTATCCACGTGTAGTGGTGGGCGTCTGTAGTCCCAGCTAGGTGGGAGGCTGAGGCACAATCCCTTGAACCTGGGAAGTGGAGGTTGCAGTGAGCTAAGATCACACCACCGCACTGTAGCCTGGGTGACAGACTCCTGTCTCAAAAAGATGCTAAAGGGAATTCTTTAAATTGAAAGGTAATAACAACATGAAACTATGAAAATATAAAGACTCTGGTAAAAAATACATAGATACAGAATCCCTTAGTATTGTAATGTTTGAACATAAACCATTTTTAAGCCTGCTGTAGAATTTGAAAGAAAAAAACAAAGCTAGGCCGGGCGCAGTGGCTCACGCCTGTAATCCCAACACTTTAGGAGGCTGAGGCAAGTGGATCACTTGAGGTCAGGAGTTCGAGACCAGCCTGACCAACATGGTGAAACCCTGTCTCTACTAAAAATACAAAAATTATCCGAGCACAGTGGCTAGTGCCTGTAATCCCAGCTACTCAGGTGAGGTAGAATCGCTTGAACTTGGGAGGCGGAGGTTGCAGTGAGCCGAGATTGCATCCAGCCTGGACAACAAAGCGACAGACTGTCTCAAAAAACAACAACAACAACAGCAACAAAGCTGGGCATGGTGGCATGTGCCTGTAATCTCAGCACTTTTGGAGGCTGAGGTGGGAGGATCACTTGAGGCCAGGAGTTCGATACCAGTCTGGGCAACATAGGTAGATCCTGTCTCTACGAAACATTTTAAAAAATTAAAAACTGACTGCTATAACTTTTTGGTAGATTAGCCCTTTTATCATTATGTAATTTTCCTGTCTCAATTTTCTTTGTCTACAAAGTCCACATTATCTGATATTAATACAGTAGACCACTTCAGTGCCTTTGACATTGAACTCATGGGTTCTGGGTGACCAGGGTCATTGTCCAATATCAAAAGAACATTCAAGGGCAGTCCCTTACTGGCAAGGTACTTCGTGATTTCACGGACAAAAGCATTAGTGGAACCAGTCCAGAAAAAGTTTCTCATTGTCCAGGCCTTTTGGTTGTGTGCCCAAGAACAGAAAGTTCATCCTTAACCTTTTCCCTCCAAGGCTTGGAGGTTAGCAGCATTGTACATAACAGCAGTTCTGATCATAAACCCGACTACATTTGCACAAAACAGTAGAGAGACTCCATTCCTTCCTACCTTTATTTTTTGTAAAGACAGCATCTCGCCATGTTGCCCAGGCTGTCCTGGAACTTGCGGTCTTGAGTGATCCCCTGACTTCGGCCTCCCAGGGTGCTGGGATTACAGGCATGAGCCACTGTACCCAGCCTGGCCTTTACCTTTCTTACAGCTCTCTGGGATTTGGCATTATTTCAGGTTTGCCAAGAAAATAACATCCGTTTCCAAGATTTAAAATGTTGCTGGTGTGTCCTTACTTGTTTTTCCTGACCTTGTGAATTAACAAGTTTTCAAACAATCTGTTACATTTGCTTTTAGTGGTACAGAGGAGGCAAAATACATTTTTCTTGCGCGTCCTATGTTGGTGGCTGAGACCCCTAAGACAAAAGACAAATTAACAAGAGCAAAACATACAAGTTTCTTTAATACAAGTTTTACATGACACAGCAGCCTACATAAGGAAATGAAGTCCCAAAGAAACAGTTAAAGTTGTGTATTTTTATGCTAAATTTGATGAAGTCACAGAGAAATATAAATGGACAAAGAGGATATGATCTAATAGTAATACACTGGGGGCAACTTAGCAAGGCCTGTTTGTTCAAGAGTTTTCTCTGTGACTGTGTGTCTTCAGCAATAAAGATGTTACTTTCCTCCAGGTATAGGGAGTGCAAATCTCACATGAGAATCTTACGACCTGCTTCAGGGGACGTTAGGAAATTCTTCCTAGGTTTTACAACCTGCTTCGTGGGAGATGTGTGGAAAAGTCCTTCCTGTTTCTGCTGTTTTCTCAAATGATGAGGTGCCATATTTTGGCAGTGAGTGTGTGTGTCCTGAACTATATCAGTACGTGTTAGGAGGGAACAAAATTAGATGTGTTGTACCCAATCTGCCTTCTTTTCTTCTTTACTGTATGCTTTGAAGGCTGCAAAATTTCCTCTAAATATTCCCTTTACCTAAATCTTTTCTAAAAAGTTTCTAGTCTTTTAAAAAATGTTTAGCTTAATTACATTGTCAAAGAATATGGTCTTGTGTGATACCAATTGCTTGAAATGTGTTGAGGCTACTTTACAGACTAGTATGAGATCATTTCTTAAGTAAATATATGCTTTTCCATGTGTTTTCTTCAGTTTTGGGGTGGAGTAGTCTACATGTCTATTCATTAACATAAAACTAATTTTGCTTTTCAAATATTTCATATCTATAGTGACCTTTTTGTCAGCTTTTCTATTAGTTACTGAGAAGGTAGGTTAAAAACTCTGAGGCCAGGGTGGTGGCTGACGCCTATAATCCCAGCATTTTGGGAGGCCAAGGCAGGAGCGTTGCTTGAGCCCAGAAGTTTGAGACCAGCTTGGGCAACAGAGTAAGATCCCATCTGTACAAAAAAGAAAGAAAACAAAATTAAAAATGGGTTCTGCCCATGTTTGCTTTATGTATTTTGTATCTTATGTTATTAAATACATAAAAGTTTAAAATATTTTATTTGCTGGTAAATTAATGCCTTTTTTTTTTTTTTAAGACACTCTCTTGCTCTTGTCACCCAGGCTGGAGTGAGGTGGCGCAATATCGGCTCACTGCAACCTCTGCCTCTCAGGTTCAAGTGATTTTCTTGTCTCAGCCTCCCGAGTAGCTGGGACTACAGGTGCCCGCCACCACGCCTGGCTAATTTTTTTTGTATTTTTAGTAGAGACAGGGTTTCACCATGTTAGCCAGGCTGGTCTTGAATTCCTGACCTCAGGTGATTCACCCACCCGCCTCCCAAAGTGCTGAGATTGCAGGCCTGGCCAGAGAGACGACTTTAGCCGGGGTAAGGGGCCGCCTGGGAACCCCGCGTCCCGCCTGGACACACCGATGACCTGCAGAGGCCACACCGTGGGCCACCTCAGCTGGCCACTGGCACAGCCTTGCCCTCTGGGGCCCCGTTCTCGCACACGCCGACGGCCTGGCCGCACTGCAGCCCCGCAGCCTTGTGGGAAATGTAGTCTGGCGCTCCGGGCTGTAAGCGCCGGTCGCGGCTGTGTCGGTCGCCGCTGCTCCCGCTCCTGCTGGGAGAGGGTGAGTGCGGGGCCGGTGGCGGGGGCGCGCGCCATCCGTGAGTCTTGTAGGCCCCCGCAGGAGGAGCTCCGGATTGCGGGGCGAGGCCCCAGCTTCCTGAGGGTTGAGGGGCGGGCCCGCAGCAGATGGGCCGGGGGTGCGGCCTCACTGCGCCTGTGGAGCGCCGGGCCTCCGGCTCCAGGTGCGCTCCCTCTTCCCCAGGAGCTGGCGGCGGGAGCACGCTGGCAGCTGAGTGTCCTTCGGCGCTGTCCTGGGCAGGCGCCGAGGTGGAATCACAGCCCCGGAGCAGCGGGGATGGGGGCTCGAACAAGGGCCACGCCGGCCACCACGGGTCAGGGAGGGGCCCAAGGTTCCAAGAGTCGCTCGGACCCGGGTTCCTCCCTGGCTTTCCCCAGCCGCGCGCAGCTTTGTCCCGGGACACGCTGCGACCGTGGAGCGAACCTAACCCGCGGACATCCCGGGGATTCTGGGCCAGAGGCTGGGTCTCCCTGTGCAGCATCTGCCCTTTGTGTAAACCGGGTCTCCGGACCCGCCCTCTGGATCTCATTCCGAGAGCGCTGGCGTGGGCTCCCCTCCCATCTCACAATAAGAATGGGGAGGCCAACCTGGTGCAGGTTTCGACCTCGGGGAATCTTTTCTTTTTTTCCTTAAGCGATTTCACTGTAGCACAACTGGAAAATTGAGATTAAAACAATCATTCAAAATCTATCTCCATCTGCATGGCAGCGTGGATATGTGTATAAGCATAGAAACACTTTGTACTTTGTTTTTAAACAGAAATATGAATATTAGCAGCTTTTTCTCCATCTATCTTTTAAAACTGAGTCATGAGATGCATTTGGTAAGGGGTTTGAAGTGCACAAATCTTAAGCCTTGTAATTTTTTACTGGCCTAAACACCCAATGAAGATAGAGAATACATCTGAAAAAAACATTGGAATATGTTGACACCATCTACTTATACCAGATTTTAAATAGAGCTACGTCATTTTAATGAGTGTGAGGGAAAGTATGGATGTGTCGTATTGAATCCTCTCCTTAGGTTTTTGTGTTAGGGTTTTCTTTTTTCTTTTTTTTTTTCAGTATTATAAACAGTATAGGCCATCTGGCTACATACATCTTTGCATTTTGTCTTATTCTATAAATCTCTTAAAGTGAAATTTCTAGGTCCAGGGTACAGTAAGGATTTTGATACCTCCTGTCTTATTCCCTCCAGAAAAGTTGCAGTTTATATAAACACTTGCAGTGTAAGAGTGCCAGATTTACCCACACCAACTGTGAATGTTAGTATTCTCTTGAACTTCTGAGAGGTGCAAAAGATAGGATTGTTTACATTTGCATTTTGAACACTAATGAATATTTTCACGCAGTTTGCATTTTGTATTTTAATTTTGTATCTGATACATAAGCATGTTTCCTGACTGTGCAGAAACGTCACAGGTTCTTATGGTCACACATGAAAACCTTTTCTTCACGTTTGGGTGTTTGACATCACTGGCAGAGAAGCTGTCTGTCCCACGAGATTACAAAAATGTTTGTAGTTTCTCTTAGTACTTTCATTTTTTGTGTACATTTTTATTTTTTTCCAAATGGTAAGCCTTTGTTACAAGTTACTTAGTAATTTTTTCTTCGTTGATATGAAATGTCACTTATTTCATATCTTGAATGAAATATATATATACACACACATACATAAATACATGTGTATTTGAACCATTTAGGTTGGTAGAATTTTAATTTGTTCCATTGATGCTTTTCCCTGTTCGGCTATAACATCCATGATTGCGGAGAGTTTATCTGTTTTATTTACAGCTGTATCCACCCCTACCCCATGCAATGGTGCCTAGTATACAGTAGGTGGTCAACAATGTATCTGGTAAATAAGTCAGTAATATTGTGTTCCAATTCTTGTAGCTTTATGAATACTGGTGGGCAAGTTGTCTCTCATCAGTATTCTTTTTTAAAAAAGTCTTAGTTGTTGTAACACACAACTTAAATATTTTTTCCATAATTAGTGAACTTCTTTTTTTTTATTGAGACGGAGTCTTGCTCTGTCACCGAGGCTAGAGTGCAGTGGTGTGATCTCGACACTGCAACCTCTACCTCCCCGGTTCAAGTGATTCTCCTGCCTCAGACTCCTGAGTGGCTGGGATTACAGGCGCCCACCACCACTCTCTAATTTTTGTATTTTTGGTAGAGACAGGATTTTGCCATTTTGGCCAGGCTGGTCTCGAACTCCTGGCCTCAAGTGGTCCACCCACCTTGGCCTCCCAAAGTGCTGGGATTACAGGCGTGAGCCACCGCGCATGGCCCATATTAACTGTAAAATATTGTTACTTAGGCATAACTTGGCTGGGAATGTGTTAAGTTTATGAATTAAAGAAATGACATCCTGGTATATTGAGACATATTGTGCAAGAATATGTCATGTCTCTCTGTCTTTCGTCTTTGTATAGCTAAATAGGCATAATGAAGTGAACTTAATACATGAAAATCATTTTCTTTATGTAGCTACTATCCAGGTCTTATTTAGTTTATTTATAGGTATTTTCATTGTTGCTGTTGCAGGAGTCTTGTTTCTCATGGCTTCTTTCCCTTCCCTCAGCTCTGCCTCCTTTGGCTTCTGTCCCTCCCCAAGGAAGAACCCCACAGGAAGGAAGGAGAAGGCAATGGCTGCTTGGCCTCTGCCATTGGGAGCTCGGGTGAGCTCATTTTTCCCTCTCAAACCTCCCCCTTCCTCCTGTACTGCATGTGGGCCTCACTGCTCAGGACAGGGTTATTGAAATAGCAGAATGCTGGATATTTTTCACAAAGCCCCCTCTGTGTTCCTGACCTCTGTTCCTAGCTGCCACTTACTCAGCTGGATACCCTGGCCTGCTGTGTTCTTGGTGCTGTTCAAGGGTCAGAAAGGGAAAAAAGTTATATGCAAGCTGGTGCTGGTGCTTATAGGGCTTATGGGCTCTCAGGGATCATAAAAGAGGGCACATCTGCATGGTATACAGTCATAATTGCACCTGAATATGGTAATAAGAACAAGTGTGGTTAGGGACCCAGTTTATCCGTATTCCAAGCTGGAGTGAAGGGGAGGATCAGGGTGGTGGCCAGGAGAAGTAGGTAGTGTTTGCCCATCTCAGGGGTTGGGAAGGGATAACTGGAGAGGATTTGTTATAAGGGAGTCAGTGTGTCCAGAGTTTAAATCCCAGCTCTACCATTTAATAGCTACATTGTCTTGGCAAGAGGCTTGGCTTTCCTGAAACATTATTTTCTCATGGTCATAATAGGAATTACAGCATTACCTGTCTGCCATATAGGTGACATGAAGAACGTCACCTGGCTGATTTCATTTAATAGTAATAGCTACTTCATAGGTCTGTTGAAAGTTCAAATAAAATAATAAAAGTAAAAAATGCCTGGCATGGCTCCTGGAATGTTGAAGTTATTCAGTAAGTTGTAGGCATTCTTAGTATCATCCCAGCCAAGAGCCTGTGTATAGACTTTTAGAGGTGGACTGAAGGGGGCAGTGACTGATAGTGAGAAATGCTCTGCTGGAGTAGAAGAAATCGGATAAAAATTTTAGGACCAAGTGTCGGGAAGGAGGAGTTTGTGTGTTTGGCAGGGTGGTGGCCATGGGGGTGGAGGTCAGTCTGAGGAATTTTGATAAGGGAGTTCGCACAATCAAAACTTTCCTAGGAAAAAGTAGTGTCCGTGAGATGGAGGGAAGCATGGAGCTGGGATAGTAGGTGAGGATTCCAGGCTTCTCTGAAAAAGAAAATAAGGCATCAGAAGACTTGGCCCTAACTTCTTTTTTTTTTTTAAGGTTAAACTTACTTAGCCTTGTTGTCTGGAATACTGAAGACTTAACGGCATTTTCTCTTCTCATAAAAGTATGTATTAGGGGTCGTTGATTTATTAGGATCACTTGTTTATTTATTAGAGACCAGTTTAAAGAAAGCTTCGTGGAGGCAAGTATAAACTGTTGTGATTTCCATTTGTACTGCTTTCTTCAGTATTATCAAACTCAGTTATAAAAGGCAAAATAACTTTTAAAATGGGGGTATTGGACAAAGGGAGTTTCTGGAAGAGGGAAATGTTGAAAGGGGAAGCATTAAGAAGATTTTGGTTGATGACTGTTGTGGTTTGGTTGTCAGTAACCTACATTTTAATTTATGTAGCCAAAATAGTGTTAATTTTTAAATCAGCTTTTTCTGAGGCACAGTTTAATAAAATAACCCAATTTAAGCATAGAATTCATTGAGTTTTGACAAATTTATGCACCAACATAGCCACCACCTCAGTCAAGGTACAGAACTTTTGCATCACCCCAGCCAGCCAGTGTCCTCGTGCCACTTCTACTCCACGTCCCCCTCCCCAGCCAGACAGTGTCCTCGTGCTACTTCTACTCCACGTCCCCCACCCCAGCCAGCCAGTGTCCTCGTGCCACTTCTACTCCATGTCCCCCACCCCAGCCAGCCAGTGTCCTCGTGCCACTTCTACTCCACGTCCCCCTCCCCAGCCAGACAGTGTCCTCGTGCCACTTCTACTCCACGTCCCCCACCCCAGCCAGCCAGTGTCCTCGTGCCACTTCTACTCCACGTCCCCCTCCCCAGCCAGACAGTGTCCTCGTGCCACTTCTACTCCACGTCCCCCACCCCAGCCAGACAGTGTCCTCGTGCCACTTCTACCCCACGTCCCCCACCCCAGCCAGACAGTGTCCTCGTGCCACTTCTACTCCACGTCCCCCACCCCAGCCAGACAGTGTCCTCGTGCCACTTCTACTCCACGTCCCCCATCCCAGCCAGACAGTGTCCTCGTGCCACTTCTACTCCACGTCCCCCACCCCAGCCAGACAGTGTCCTCGTGCCACTTCTACTCCACGTCCCCCACCCCAGGAAGTCACTGGTTTGATTTCTGTCCCTACAGTATTGCCCTTTGTAGAACTTCATGTCAATGAAATCAAACAGTATATATTATGCCTGGCTTTTTTTGCTCAACGTAATGTTTTTCAGGTCTTTACATGATATTGTGTGTAGTAATAGTTTGTTCCTTTTTGTCTTAAGTAGTACACAGTTGAATATACCACCTTTTGTTCATTCACTTGTGACAGACATTTCAAGTTGTTTCCTGTTTTTAGCTATTATGAATAAAACTGCTCTGTACATTCATGTATGAGTCTTTTTGTGGATATATACTTTAATTTCTCTTGGGTAAATACCTAGGTCAAGTGTACATTTGACTTTGTAACAAACAGCTAAACTGTTTTCCAAAGTATATGTACCATTGTACATTCCCTCCTGCAGTATTTGAGAATTCCAGTCGCTCTACATGCTCTTCCATACTTGGTGTATCCATTTCCAAGAGCTGCTGTAATAAAGTGCCACAAATTGAGTGGCTCGAAACAATAGAAATTTATTGTCTCACAGTTTTGGAGGCCAGAAGTCTGAAATGAAGGCATTTGCAGGGCCTTGCTCTCTGAAACTGGTGGGGGAATCCTTCCTTTACTCTTCCTAGCTTCTAGCTTCTGGTGGTTTGCTGGCACTCTTTGGTGTTCCTTGGTTCATGGCTGCATCGCTCTAATCCTTACCTCCTTTGTCATCTGATGTTATCCTTATGTGTTCATGTCTTCAAATAGCCGTTTTTCTTATAAGGATACCAGTCATATTTGAGACAACCTGTTTTCAGATGAGGTCCTATTGCAAGGTACTAGAAGCTGGGACTTCAACATACCTTTTTTGGGGGACACAGTTCATAACACTAGGTATTATAAGCTTTTTAAATTTTAGTTATTTTCAAGGGTGGAAAATGCATCTTGTGGTTTTTTGGTTTGTTTTTTTTTTAACTTTTATTATGAAATAATTTCAGACTTTAAAAACTGCTGCAAGGCCGGGCACGGTGGCTCATGCCTGTAATCCCAGCACTTTGGGAGGCCACGGCAGGTGGATCACTTGAGGTCAGGAGTTCGAGACCAGCCTGGCCAACATGGTGAAACCCCGTCTCTACTAAAAATACAAAAAATGAACCGGGCGTGGTGGCACACACCTGTAATCCCAGCTACTCAGGAGGCTGAGGTGGGAGAATCGTTGGAACCCAGGAGGCGGAAGTTGCAGTGACGTGAGATCACTCCACTGCACTCCAGCCTGGGAGACAGACTGAGACAACAACAAATGCTGCAAAAATAAAACAATTTCTGGATAGTCTTCATCTAAATTAACATTTTGCCATTTTTCTCTTCCTGTATACACACACATGTTTGTGTATATATATTTCTGAACCATTTGAGAATAAATTACAGACATGCCCATTTCACTCTAAGTGTCCGTGTGTGCTTTCTATTATCATACCTAGCAAAAATACAGTTATCAAAATAAGGAAAACTTACATCGATACAATACTATTAGCCAAACTACAAACCTTACTTGGATTTTGCCACCTGTCCTACAACTGTCCTTTATCTGGTGCAGAATCCAATCCACATCACACATTGTATTTAGCTGTCGTATCTCCTTGGTCTCCTTTTATCTAGAAAAGTTCATTATTGATCTTCAATGACTTGGATACTTTTGAAGAGTACAGGCCAATTATTTCATAGAATGATCCTCAATGTGGGTTTGTTTGATGTTTGCTGATAATTTGATTCAGATTGTGATTAATTAAAATTTGAATGGCTGATACAGTCAGTGTTCAGAATTCAAAAATAAGCATTCACTTAAAATAAATCTTCTTCCTACTCTTGTCTCCAAGCTCCCTATTATCTCTTCTCATAAAAAGGTAATGATTCTCATTTCTTATGTAGCTTTCCAGAGATGACTACAAAAGCCCATAAAAGTATGTATTTTCCCAATTTTTAATCCAGTTGATAACAGATAATATTTACTCAGGAGTCTGCACCTGTTCTATTTTTAGCTATTTTGCATTTCACAATATATCTTGGAGACCTGTCCATATCAGTACATCGGGGCTTCTTTCTTTGATTATGTGGGCATATCATAGTTTAGTTAACCAGTCTGCCTTAAGGGACATTAGTCTAGACACTTGATAGCAGCTGATGACAGGCATTTTGTCACTTTTGTTGCTGCTTCTCTGAATTACTGATGAATCACTTGGAACTGTACAGTAGATGAGAAATGAGTAACTCAGATGTTGAGAAATAAAGTGTAATTGTCAACTAGATGTGTTTATAACCTGTAAATGGAATGCAATTACGAAGTACAGTAATAGACTTGGGACATATCAATGCAACATTAGAGCTGTTTTCCTTTTTTCATCTTTCTCCGTAGTTTCATCTTTCCCATATTGGCCAGTGATGGTAGTATGAATTGTCTAGGTGTTACTTTTATTTGCCTTTAAATTTAATATTTTTTTGAATATAAATATTGGGCATATAGACTAATCATATCTACTATCCCTTTTTAAAAATTTAAAGGCAATGAGAGAGAATTCCAAGTTTCCAACCCTCAGAAACAACTATGATGTACATTCTTCCAGCCTTTTAAAATACCTGTCTACACCCTTTGCCCATTTTTATATTGAGTTATTTACATATAAAAGAGGTCTTTCCTATAAAGTGGATAGTATTCCTTTGCTATACGTTGCCAGTATTCTGTCATGTTTCTTTTAAATTTGTTTATAATATATTTTGCTACAAAAAAGTTTTGAAGTTTTATGCAGTTAAATTTCCTTTCTCTTTACTTGGCTTTGGGATCATGCTATGAAAAGGAGCCTGGCATGGTGGCTCACGCCTGTAATCCCAACACTTTGGGAGGCCGAGGTGGGTGGATCACGAAGTCAAGAGATTGAGACCATCCTGGCCAATACGGTGAAACTCCGTCTCTACTAAAAATACAAAATTACAAAATACAAAAATACAAAAATTAGCTGGGCATGGTGGCACGTGCCTGTAGTCCCAGCTACTGGGGAGGCTGAGGCAGGAGAATCGGTTGAACCCGGGAGGTGAAGGTTGCCGTGAGCCAAGATTGTGCCACTGCACTCTAGCCCGGCAACAGAGTGAGACTCCATCTCCAAAAAAGAAAAAAGAAAAAAAAAAGAAAAGTTTTCTGTACCCCAAGATAATATAAATCTTTTTCTGTGTTTTCTATTAGTTTTATAATTTTAAATTTACATCCTTGTGCTATCTGGAATGTATTGTCTGTGATGTGAAGTAGGGATCTAACTTCATTTAACATGATGTGGTGAAGCATTTCATCCATCCATCCACTCATTAAACATATTTAGCGCTTCTCTGCCATGTGGTGTGCCGTGTTCTGGATACTGGGAGTGTTGCAGTGAGTAAGAGAGGCAAGATCTCCTTCTCTGAGCTCTTATTTTCCACAGGGGATGCAGACAATAAAGAGGAAATGTGGTTGAGGATAGTGTTAGGTGCTGTGATGAGGACGCAGCAGGGGAACATGGTAGAGTGTCACTCAGGGCTGTTTTAGCTCAGCAGAGGAGTGGCCCCTCTCAGGAGATGGCATTGGAGCTGATGTTATCTACTGAAATAATCTGCTCACTCTCCGTGGACTTGAAATGGAACCTTTAAAATATGCCAAATTGTCACATATATATGAAATATATATGAGAGTTTATATTATAATATAGTTTACATATATTTATATATGAGTTTATTTTTAAAATTTATATATATGTTTATTTTTCTGGATTCTATTCCATTGTTCTATTTCTGTTGTAGTACCACACTATTGTATTTGTTGTCTCAGAATTCATTTTGCTTTTTTTTTTTTTTTTTTTTTTGAGAGACAGAGTCTTGCTCTGTCTCCCAGGCTGGAGTGCAATGGCATGATTTTGGCTCACTGCAACCTCTGCCTGCCGGGTTCAAGGCATTCTCTTGCCTCAGCCTCCTCAGTAGCTGGGACTACAGGCACGTGCCACCACGCCTGGCTAACTTTTTGTATTTTTAGTAGAGACGGGGTTTCACCATGCTGGCAGGCTGGTCTCGAACTCCTGACCTCGTGATCTGCCTGCCTCAGCTTCCCAAAGTGCTGGGATTACAGGAGTGAGCCACTGCGCCCGGCCCATTTTGGTATTTCGTAAAGCAACTCTTCCCTCATTTTTCGTTTCAAAAGTTTCGTTACTGTTCTCGTATATTTATCCTTAATAGTCGAATTTTATTATGAAGTTCCAACAGTAATAGTAAAAAAGTAAAATTATGCAGTTCTGATTTGAATTTCAAAGTGTGTAAGTCAGTTTGAGGAAGATTGCCATCTTTACGATGTTTATTCTTCATATTAAGTAAAAAAATGATACTTTATTCTATTCAGATCTTTCATTATGGCCTTTAACTCTTTACAGACCAATCATGAAGATCTTGCATATTTCTCTTAAATGTATTCTTAGGTGTTTCATTTTCTGTTGCTGTTGTAATTGGAGTTTAAATATGATTGTGATTTTGTAAAGAAAAAATGTGGATTGCTCAGTATCATATCTGAAGACACTTTGCTGCTGCAGTGCCTAAAACTTCATCACTATCATATTTTACTTATAAATTATGCTTTCATCATTTATAATGTCCTTATTCTATTTGATATGCAGTTTTTTCAAACAATAACTGTATCAAAAAGCCTTTGTTTTTAGGTTTAAGAAAACCTCTGTATGAGTAAGATAAACCCATGAAGCTCCTTAAACACTATGAGGTATCCTGTACTGAATGTAGTGCTAGGGGGAAAATGACTCATACTAAATGGAAAGGAGGAAAGGAATAAAACATCTTAAGGAATTGATGACAAATGTATATTACTAAGTTCCATGTTCACTTTCTTTTTTTTTTTCTTTTTTCTTTTTTTTGGAGACAAGGCCTGGCTGAATTGCCCAGACTGGACTACAGTGGTGTGATCTCAGCCCACTGCAACCTCTGCCTCCTGAGCTCAAGCCATGTTCCCACCTCAGCCTCCCGAATAGCTGGGACCACAGGTGCACACTACCACGCCCAGCCAATTTTTGTCTTTTTTGTAGAGACAAGGTTTCGTCATGTTACCCAGGCTGGTCTCGAACCCCTGAGCTCAAGCCATCCGCCACCTGCCTTGGCCTCCCAAAGTGCTGGTATTACAGGCGTGAGCCACCATGTCTGGCCATGTTCACCTTTTAAGAAGCCTTTTGTAGTTACCTAAATCAGCACTTTACCAGCCCACAGCTGGCACGGGGATCTGCAGTGCATTTCACAATAGAAGCTCTGCGCATGCTGAGCACAGAGCCAGGACTTAAGGTGGTGAGGGTTTAGGGAAGCAAGGAAGACCAGCACATAGCAACCTGGATTTGGACTTTTATTTTGCCTTCTGTATTCAGCTAACAAGGTAATTTGTTGAAAAAAGTGGATGATTTTTGGAAGGGGAATCTTGCATTTCTGATTTGATACCTTCTTTCACCAAAAAGAGGCTTATTTTTGTTTTCACATATATTCTCCCTTATCTGATAACGTTATTCTCACTGCTTTCTTTACATTTGCATTTGCCTGCTATATCCTGTGTCTGCCCTCCTCTTTTGAAATTTTAAACTTTTTGGTTTCTGTTTTACGTATATCTTTTGTAGGTACCATACAGCTGGATTTTAAATCAATTTTAGAGTTTTTGTCTTTATTTATTTATTTTTTTTTGAGACAGAGTCTCACTCTGTTGCCTAGGCTGGAGTGCAGTGGCCCGATCTCGGCTCACTGCAACCTCCGCCTCCCGGGTTCAAGTGATTTTCCAGCCTCAGCCTCCCAAATAGCTGGGACTACAGGTACACGCCACTGTGTCTGGCTAATTTTTTTGTATTTTTAGTAGAGATGGGGTTTCACCATGTTGGCCAAGCTGGTCTCGAACTCATGACCTCAAGCAATCCACCCACCTCAGCCTCCGAAAGTGCTGGGATTATAGGCGTGCACCACCATGCCTGGCTGAGTTTTTGTCTTTTTTTTTTTTTAATAAGTTTTTATTTAAAAGATTCCCTTTTTAATCTGTTCCAAAGTGTTGGAAGCTGAACTATACAAGTTCCTGCCACCCATCCTTCCAGTAAAGTTTTCTGAGGACATACTTTTTAAATGGAAAAATAACAGGAGGATCCTCTAACTGAAACCAGGTAGGACCAGAGTCAGCTCCTCAAGCCCCTGAGGCAGTCTGGCCAAAGCTGGCCTTATGGAGCGAGCGTGTGGAGAAGTCTGGGGAACTGGACCCTCTTGTGAGGAAAGGGCTGAACAAGCTCATGTTCTCTTTAGTGAAAGTGGTCCAAATTCAGACCCAAAAGCCTCCATTATGGCATTCCCTGGCACTCTTCCTATACTTTATACATTGAAGGCAGCTCCCTCTTTTATGGCCAGTATAAGCAGGCAAAGAAACAAAGGAATATAGATACATATATGTGTACACATATATATTTTATATAGTTAAAATATATACATATTTTATATATGTATATATACATATTTGGGGGTAGGGAAAGGAGAGGAGGGTCCTGTAAACCTAAACAGTCATCACATTACCCCACATGAGCCTGACTTTAACAAAAAGTTGACTCCTGGGGGTTAAGTGACAACATGGGTGCAGCAAGAAGGGAAAGGGCACAAATTTAACTATTAAATATACTTTGATATTTGTTTGGCACAATTCAGGCCCACTCCAGGCTTCTGCCTTTGCCAGACAAGTAAGCTCATGATATTCAAAGAGATAAATAAATAAATAAATAACAATTCAAGCAGAGCTGCATACCACAGTTTTCCTTAAAGTCAGTTGGCCGGCACACAGTTTCCCAACCACCAGGAACAGAAACTTTGGCTCCAAGGCAAACGAAACAAACAAAAAAAATTATTTCCACTTACAACATGAAAATACAGAAACTTCATCAAAGAAAGAAAACTATCAAAGAAGTCTACTTCCAGCAAAACTGAGGTAGCACTGCTTTCTCTGCATTCAATGCTTAAGTGGTTCTCAGTACAACGTGTTCTTAAAAAATGCTCACTTGACTGACAGGTGCAGCATGTTGATGGATAAACTCAACATGAAATGCAATAGGTCAAAGAAGGAATGAGCAAGAAGTGAGGGAAATCAGAGTTCTGGATAAATTAGCTTAAAAGGGGGTTGTCACCAGACTACAAATGCTCTTGGCTGGCCTTGGCTCTCCAAGAGCTCTAAATCGCCTGGAAATTAATGCAGTGTGATTAAGTTAACACTCCTATTCAAATCTGTGTAAATCTTTAAAAATAATTATTACTGGCTGGGCGCAGTGGCTCACGTCTGTAATCCCAGCACTTTGGGAGGCTAAGGTGGGCAGATCATGAGGTCAGGAGATCGAGACAATCCTGGCTAACATGGTGAAACCCTGTCTCTACTAAAAATACAAAAAATTAGCTGGTGTGGTGGTGGTTGCCTGTAGTCCCAGCTACTCAGGAGGCCGAGGCAGGAGAATGGCGTGAACCTGGGAGGTGGAGCTTGTAGTGAGCCGAGATTGCGCCACTGCACTCCAGCCTGGGTGACAGAGGAAGACTCCATCTCAAAAAAAAAAAAAATTATTACAACCTAATTTCAACCATGTAAATAGCGCTACACACAGTACAGACCTGCCCTTAGAAACAATATGCAAAACAGATCTGGCACTGTATCATTTTATAATGTGAATTCACCCTAACCATCCCATCCCCCCCTCCCTGCTCTATGCCTTCCCCTACCAAAAAAAAAAAAAAAAAACCTAATTTGTGCAAGAAATGGCAGGCTTATTCTATCTGAAGGCTACAAAAAAAAGATAACATGTAGCCAGGTTCAAATATTTTGGGAGATTCCCCCAAAACAAGAAATAACCAAAATAACCAAAAAATGAAGAAAGTGCCTAAAACATGGTACAGCATTTTAGAGCCCTTTCAGATACAAAGCAGAGAAAGCTATGTTGGGAGAAAAGCTGAGTGTTGGGAAAAAAAGCTGAGGCAGGGCTTGCATGTCTGACATAGTGTAAAAGAGTCTTGGAACGTGTCTGGGGTCTGGGGTCTAAAACCCCTCGTGGCCTTTGGAATACCAAGTTTAGTGCTAAAGGGTGGAAGGCTGCCCTGCCGCACCGTTATCTAAGCCCAGGGCGTAAAACCCCTCGTGGCCTGGATGGAATCCAGGGCTCAGGGCGTAAAACCCCTCGTGGCCTGGATGGAATCCAGGGCTCAGGGCGTAAAACCCCTCGTGGCCTGGATGGAATCCAGGGCTCAGGGCGTAAAACCCCTCGTGGCCTGGATGGAATCCAGGGCTCAGGGCGTAAAACCCCTCGTGGCCTCTGGAATGTGTCTACACTTGCTGGCTCCTTGCTTCTAGCACTCCCAGGCTCATAGTTCGATTGTATCGTAAACTAGAAGAACGTGTTTCCCATTATCTCAAGCAGCAGAACATGTTCCATATGCTTCAAAGAAAATGGTAAACCATCTCAGCTGTAGATCATTGCTTGATAAATGGTTTTCTTTCAACCCCCACATCCTCACCACCTGCTGCTTTGTTTGATCACCAGTAAATAGTGCTTGCTTCCAGAGCTTGGGGCCTTTGCAGCCTCCATACTAGCATTGGCCCCCTGGTCCCACTTTCACTCTTGACTTCTCTTTGCTCATTCCTTTGACTCTGCTGGACTTGTAGCCCCCACGGCCTGGTGTTGAGTCTGATCACCCCAACAAAGGTGTGAAGTAGAAACTATCCTGATCTTCAGTAATTTCCCAAAAGGTCCAATTCCTCAGTTGGCTGCAGGGCAGCGGGCAGATCCTTGCTGCTGCTCCTGGGACAGAGCCACTAAGTCTGCTCCTCAGGACACAAGCCCTCGGGCCTTGAGCTGAGTGCACCTCTCCCTTCCTCTTCTCTTTTCCTTCGCTTCATTTCCCACTCCACAAAGGTGTCGAAGAGATTTGGCCAGGCCTCATCTTCACTGTGGTTGCTGAGGTCAGGGCCAATCACCTGAGTGAAGTTAAGGAACATGTTCCAAGAGTCCCGGGAGATGCCCTTGATCCTCAAGGGGTTCTCTGTTAGGAAGTTCAGCCATTGGTCCAATACTGGAGAATTGTTCTGGGTAGAGACTAGTTTCCATAGGGTGATGGCTATTTGCCGATGCAGTGACCACTGCCCTTCTTCAGAGTCCAGGCCAAACTGAAATGTAAACTGGTAGAGATCCTTGAATTTATTCTCCTGTTTGGCTTCTGTTAAGAGGCTGGAGAACCGTGCACAGATTCTGTCACTGCTGTCTGCATTTAATGCTTTGCAGCCATCAAAAATCTTTCTGGTGAATTTGCACATGGTTGCAGCCTGGAACTTCCAAGCCAAGAGCAGCACTCGGAATTCTGTGGGGTCGACACATAGGTCATTGCAAAAGTGCTCCATGCCTTCCTCCAAAATTGCATCTTCCCACTCATCCTTGTAGCACCTGAACAGTTCTTCCAACCCCTGCAAGGAAGACTCCTCGGCACTGGAGTTGGACTCCCTCCCACCATCTCCTGAGGATGTTGGCAGCTGGCAGCCTCGGCCTTCTTGGTCCCATTGACAAGGCTATCTCTACTTGGCATGCCACAGGGTGGTACTTGCTCCTCACAGTGGCCTGCACCCTGCCTGCTGTGTGACTTCTTGCTGGGGTCATGGTCTGCATTCTTGCTGCCCAGGGTCAATGAGGGATTCTTACACTTGGTGACACACTGGCCCATGGTACTGGTGTCCCGGCCTCTAGAATGGCCCCCTCTGGATCAGTTGCCCTCACTGCCGCTGGCCCATGCACCTCAACATGTCATCAGTCAGAGGAGCTAGCCAACAGCTGCTCCAGAGGTT
Source organism: Homo sapiens (assembly GCF_000001405.40). Lineage (NCBI taxonomy): Eukaryota > Metazoa > Chordata > Mammalia > Primates > Hominidae > Homo > Homo sapiens. The sequence continues at coordinate 178,910,727 of NC_000005.10, forward strand.
CCTCCAGTCAAACCCTTTCTGGAAACGATGGCAGCATGGCGGGTCCAACCCTCCTACCATCCCCGCTGGGGTTTCCAGGCTCCCTACCCCTGCCGCCACCACCCCTTCTTCCACCACTGCCACCGCCTCCTTCATCTGCCAAGGGAAGTGAACCACTGGGTTCATTTTTAGGGACTGAACCTTTTTATAGGGAAAAAAGGTTCCTTTTAATAGGGAAAGCGAACCATTGGTGTTTGTCACTATATGTGTGTTAAGTATTTTTCTGGTTATTATGCGGTCTTATTTCCTTTATTCTCCTTTCTTTACGTTTGTTGAACATCTGATGATTTTCTTAGTTCCCTTTCTCCTTGGTTAAAATGGAAATTCTGCACTTTTCCTGAAAATATTTGTCAGTGATTTTTAATATATTTTTGTAACTTTGAAATATTGATTAAATAAAAATTAGGGAGAAAATGATGTAGAAAGAAAGGTAGACAATGAACTCTGTGCCTGAGTGTTGACACTTTTTCTGGAGTTCCTAGTCTTGGATGTGAAGTACACAAATTTCTTGGAAATTGATTTTGCCCTCTGTCTCGTATTCAGTCCTTCTTTCTCCACTACGGTTGACCCTTAAATAACACAAATTTGAACTACACAGGCCCACTTTGATGTGGATTTTTTCCAATAAAAATTACACTGAGTGTGCCTGCCTTTCCTGCCACCTGCTCTACCTTCGCCACCCCTGAGACAGCAAGACCAACCTCTCCTCTCCTTCCTCCTCCTCTGCCGTCTGTATGTGAAGACAAGGAGAAAGACTTTTATGATGATCCAGTTCCATTTAATGAGTATATGTGAAATAACTGTTACGTTATTAGTAAGGCTTCCAGTCAACACTAGGCTATTAGGAGTTAAGTTTTGGGGGAGTCAAAAGTTACACATGGATTTTAGACTGTGAGGGAGGTTGGTGTCCCTAACCCCCATGTATTCAAGGGTCAGTTGTACTTTCTCCCTTTTCCTTATTTACATATCAAAATGCTCTCTGTCCTTAAATGATGAAAACCTTTTCTATTGCTTTATTTCTATTATCTATTCTTATTTCCATAGTCTTACTCTCATTTTCTTTACAAAAAGTTTTAAGTAATTTATCTGGCCGGACACGGTGGCTCACTCCTGTAATCCCAGCTCTTTGGGAGGCAGAGGTGGGTGGATCACTTGAGGTCAGGAGTTTGAGACCAGCCTGACCAACATGGTGAAACTCCATCTCTACTAAAATTACAAAAATTAGCCAGGCGTGGTGGGCACCTGTAATCCCAGCTACTCGGGAGGCTGAGGCAGAAGAATTTCTTGAATCCAGGAAGTGGAGGTTGCAGTAAGCCGAGAACGTGCCACTGCACTCCAGCCTCGGCTACAGAGCAAGACTCGGTCTCAAAAAAATAGGAAAGAGAAAGAAAAGAAAAGAAAAGAACGAGGGCTGGGCTGTGACTGTATGTGGCTGATAAATTGCTATCGACCTCATCTGTTGAGTGTCAAGTGTCCTGTGTTTGGTCATCATGTACCATTTGGGGCAGGGATTCCTTCCTTCACCAATGAGGTGAATAGGAGGTGATCACAACACCACTCCTTCCTCTCCCATGGGAATCTAGAGCCGCCTTTAGTGCCTTTCCTTATTTCTCACTTATACCTACTCTTCCTGTCCTTACCTCCCAAAACACTTTTTATATTATGTCTCTGGTTATTTCGTGATTGGTGGCAGACATTTTCTTCCATCTGGAGGGCAGCATGTTTTCTCAGGCAGATCTTTGTCCTTTCAGTGCTGCTGGGATTTTCACTCCCCTCAGAGGGTTTGGTTGGCATAATCCCTTATTGAGGAATTTTTAGTTTCAGGAGTCAGTGACCTTCAAGGATGTGTCCATAGATTTCTCTTGGGAAGAGTGGATTCAAGCAGATTCTGCTCAGAGGATGACCGTGTATGGGGAGGTGATGCTGGAGAACTACAGGAACCCGGTCTCACTGGGTAAGGACTTCTTGTAACTCAAAACCCACCTCTTGACAATCATAAGGCCTGATCATAAGGCATTGTTTTAGGGTGTTTGCTTGGTGTCCTCTCTTTCAAGGCAGAAGATTGAAATTTTCTGTAGAGAATGGAAAATGGGGAACTTCATAAGCCACACCTTCCTTGTTTCAGAAGCCCTGAAGGAGAAATGATCAGAACTCTGCTAGGATTGGTTTTTAGGCTCAGTTCAGAACCCAAATTTAATGTCTCTCCTCTTAAGCAGGAAATCACCTTTCCAAACCCAATGGGACTTCCCAGCTGGAACGAGAACTGAGTCTGATGCAAAAAGAACCGCCTGAGGGTGGCTTTCGAGGTAAGTGCCAGGCTGTGCAGACTTGTTAAATGAGTGTGTCTTTGGGGAAAATCACTTCAGAGATTGTTGGGTCTCTGGAGAGACTAGGGCCACTGGATGTGTGTTCTCAGATGACACCTCCGCATTACTGATGGGCCTCTTTTCTCTAGGGCTCACTTATGTCATCTTGCAGGGAGGTGGTGGATTATGAGGAGTAAATGAGTTTTTACATTTATGGCACTTACCCACTGCGTGGAACATACTGAGCATTTGGTAAATGTTAGCAACCACTATGTCCTCTTCTGTCTTCCTCTGCATTCTGAATTGAAACCCTGTCTTTACGCATCTTCTCTGGGCTTTTACTGTCTTTCATGAGTGTTTCCTCTCAACCATAACGTATATCCATAGCTTCCTTTCTGTCATTCATGTAAATATTTGTAAGCTTTTTCTCCTTCAAAGGAAACTAACATTTCTCTTCCTCTGCATTGTGTGAGAGAGTTTTAGACAGTCTTCATTTAAAAACATGAAAAATGATGTTAGCCTTGTTTTCATTTCTAGCAGCCTTACATTGTGTATATTTTCTTTCTCATTCCCAAAATTCTAATCTGCATTACTACCCATTCAATGCCATTTACCTCAAAATGTTGAATGCTCCTTTATCTTTGTTATCTGGTTTCTAATCCTTATCACAACTGAAATTTCTGTTTTAGGTGTTATTACTGACTTTTCTCTGCAAAAAAAAAAAATGCATTTTACATCTTTATCTTCTCTACCATGTGCAAAAGTACCAATCATTTCTTTTTTTTTCTTTTTTTTTTTTTTTTGAGATGGAGTCTCGCTGTGTCACCCAGGCTGGAGTGCAGTGGCACAATCTCAGCTCACTGCAAGCTCCGCCTCCCGGGTTCACACCATTCTCCTGCCTCAGCCTCCGGAGTAGCTGGGACTACAGGTGCCCGCCACCACGCCCAGCTAATTTTTTGTACTTTTAGTAGAGACGGGGTTTCACTGTGTTAGCCAGGATGGTCTCGATCTCCTGACCTCGTGATCCGCCTGCCTTGGCCTCCCAAAGTGCTGAGATTACAGGCGTGAGCCACCGTGCCTGGCCCTAATCATTTCTTTGTATATTTTTTTTAAATTAAAGAGATAGGCAAATATTTAATCTCTAGATAATATAAAGCTATCTAAGATAAAACAATGAAAGAAATCATTAAAGGAACACAATTATAGGAAAAACATTGCCTGTAACCATCACTGCTGGTTTCCCACAAGTTTTTTTAAAGAATGGGATTCTGGGAGAGGAATCACTGGGTCAAAGGATATATCCATTTTTTATGGTCTTGCTACATATTGCACTGCTTTAGATACTATTTTGTGTTTAATGATAATTTCTTTGGTATAAAATGAAAGGTAGTGTTAATTACTTTTATTACAGATTTCTATGGATTTTATTACTATTGATATTTGTATTCTTATGTAAATAACCTATTTATTCAACAAATATCTATTGAGTACTATTCTTAGCACTGGGACTACAGCAATAAGCACAGCAGGCAAAGTGTTTTTGAGGAGCTTATATTCTAATGGGGAGACAATAAAGGAAGAAGGGAGGGGGGGACAGAAGGGAAAGGAAAGGAGGCAGGAAGGGAGGAAATGAATATAACACAGTGATAGGTGCGGTGTGGAAAAATAAAGCAGCATAAGAGAATGACATTAGTTAACAGGAGTGTGATTTTACAGGGAGGGCTTCTCCTTTAATGAGACTTTTGAGCAAATACTCAAAGTGATGGGCCACATGGGAGAACATTGAGGACATAGGGAACAGCAGGTGCGAAGGCCCTGAGGTAGGAGATTGTGTGGCATTGTTTGAAGGGGAGTGTGCTAGCAGATACGAAGATTTCTGTAAACCTTACGTTTCAGTCCTTCTGTAAAAAGATCTATTTGTACTATCATTTTTTAAATTTCTGTGAGCCACTCATTGTCTGAATGTTCTTCTTAAATAGCAGTCTTTCTAACGCATACACTAACTTCACTCATCTGTTTGGGAGTATTTCATTGTTTTTGTTTCTGGTTTTCTGGTATGTATGTGCAGCAGTTTTTTCCTTGCTCCCTAGATTATTTTATTGATGCCATTTTCATTGCTTATTGTCATTCTGGTGGGTTTTCTGGAAGCAGCAGAAGCAAACACATATATTTTGATACTGTGTTTTCATCTCCCACTTCTTTACCCCATTCGTGCTTCCCTACTGGGTTAGAACCTAAAGGTTTTTCTTTCTTTTTTTTTTTTTTTTTTTTTTTGAGATGGAGTCAGGCTGGAGTGCAGTGGTGCAGTCTTGGCTCACTGCAACCTCCGCCTTCCAGGTTCAAGCAATTCTTCTGCCTCAGCCTCCTGAGTAGCTGGGACTACAGGTGCACACTGCCGTGCCCGGCTAATTTTTTGCATTTTAGTAGAGACAGGGTTTCACTGTGTTGTCCAGGCTGGTCTCAAACTCCTGAGCTCAGGCAGTCTGCCCACCTCAGCCTCCCAAAGTGCTAGGATTATAGGCGTGAGCCATGGCACCCAGCTCACTTGTTTTTTTTTTTACTGCATGTGACACTGTATTTTGCTCATCATTTTCCATGTCTGTCTGTCTTTAGCCGGGCATGGTTGCGTGCACCTGTAATCCCAGCTACTCGGGAGGCTGAGGTGCAAGAATCACTTCAACCCGGGAGGCTGAGGTTGCGGTAAGCTGAGATTGTGCCACTGCACTCCAGCCTGGGCAGCGGAGCAATACCCACTAATATGTAGGCTCACCGAATTGTCATTGAACATGTTTTTCTTTACATTCCCTGACTATGACATTGCTTGCTGGAGTAAGTACTTAAATATTTGTTGAGTGAATATTTAATGACATCAATTAGAATTTTCATAAATCTGGTGAAAATATAAATTTGAATTTATGAAATTCATATCAATACAGATTGGATAATTATTGGGATGAATGAATGAGTGGGCAGGGCAAAACAGCAAAGGTGGGACCCTCAGGACAATAACATAGTGAGGGGGCCAAGGATGCTCTGGTGAAGGTGAGTGGTCCAAGGAGGAGGAGAGGGCCCAGCAGGAGAACATGGTCGAAGGGAGAGAGGAGAGTCAAGGTAGAGTATGACAGTGCCAAGTAGGGAATGAAAATGCCTGTTGGATTTGGTGATGAGGGAGTGGCCTGGGACCCAGGGAAGAGCCCATTTAGTGCTGAGAGAAATACGCTGTGGGCAGAAAAGTGAAGAGGAAGCAAGCAAGTGAAGACTTTTAAGTACAGACTGTCGTTTCAACAAGGCCAGCTTCTAAGGAAAAGGAAGAAAGAGTAAGAACTCAGAAGAAGCCTGTGGTTTGTTTTTTAACAAGGAAAAGACTTGAGTGTATCTGAAAGAGCAGAGAGGTGTCCATTGCAGTGGGAGAAACTAAAGATAGGCGAAAGTTGAATGGAAAGGAGCCCATAGAACATGATGATTTGCAAACTCCAGATCTTGTTCTTTCCAGATTTTCTTGGATATTGCTGTCAGATTAATCTGACATTTAGTCCTCTCATTATCCTGTCCCAGTCAAGGGGAGAAAGTATTGACTGAGTGCTGTGCTCAGCTCTTCCACAGCCAGCATCTCACTTACTTGACACAAAACATCTATAGGTAAGTACTGGTACTCCTCTTACGGTGGAAGACATTGGCTCTGAAAGGTGAAATAACATGTCAGAATCTGAACACATATCTTTTGTTTTGTTGGTTTTTTACTTTGAGTTTAATGGTAATTCTCGCTTTCTTCCCTTGCCCTGCTGTGTTGTTATTTCCTAGTATATTTAGTAAAACTAGAAACTTCTGTATCCTGGCCTAATTTTCTTTTCAGCATCATTTCTTTTCTCTGTACTAAAGCTTTGTACAGTTGAAAGCATTGTTAGATTTTTGCTCCTGTTTTACAAAAGATGAATAGAAACTGCAAATCCAGAAGTGCTGTCCCTGGTGCCAGTATTTTCATTGTAAACTGACTAATTTTGAGAAAAGATAGAAATTTTTAGTAATGTGGAAAGCAGTGTCTTTTAGCCTCTCATCAATAGCAATTAGATTTAAATCATTTAATCATATTCAGTTATGAAGGAGATAAAAATTAAGAACATGAATAAAGTACTATCAAAGATTATGTGTAAAAATACAGTTGGGGATTCTATAATCTTTTTAGCTCTCCAGGAAGCCACCCTAACCATCCCTAAACATAGGAGCCTGCTGTCTGTGTTTCACACATGATTTTTAAAAATGTGGCCGGGCGTCGTGGCTCACACCTGTAATCCCAGCATTTTGGGAGGCTGAGGCGGGCAGATCTCTTGAGGTCAAGAGTTCGAGACCAGTCTGGCCAACATGGTGAAACCCCGTCTCTACTAAAAATACAAAAATTAGCCAGGTATGGTGGCACGTACCTATAATTCCAGCTACTCAGGAGGCTGAAGCGTGAGAATCACTTGAACCCGGGAGGTGGAAGTTGCAGTAAGCCGAGATCATGCCACTGCACTCCAGCCTGGGCAACAGAGCAAGACTCCATCTCAAAAAAAAAAAAAATTTTCAGAGATGTACTGGATAACTACTTCTGCATATATGTATGTCTGTCCATGTAAATATATGTGTACATATATAGAGAAACATACACAGAGAATTTATATAGTTAAGAGTCTCTATCTGCCTGCATGCTCACATGAGCCTCACTGATGTTTAATACGTACACATATCTTTGCTTTCGTTACTAGGAAAACTGATCTAAAATACTATAATGAATGTAGAAGTATTCAAAAAGTTCATTCTTCCTTAAATAAGACAGGCCCACTGCTGCCTCAGGGCCTTAGCACTGGCTGTTACCCTGTCTGGGAAGCTTTCCCTTAGATAGTCCTATGACTTCCTCTCTTAGTCCCTTAAAGTCTTGGTTTAAATGTCACCTTTTCAGTGAGGCCTTTTCTTATGACCCACTTTAAAATTGCAGACGTTTTCTCTCACCCATCATGTTCCCTATATCCATTTAAATGCTTTTATTGTTTTTCTGTAAGGTATACCACTTACTTATTGTCTCCCTTTCTCTTGCTAAAATATGTTTCATAAGGGCAGACATTTTTTCTGTTTATTGCTATATCCTGAGCACCCAGAACAGTACCTGGCTTGATAAGTATTTATTGAATGAATGATTTATCGTGTTCATAAAACCAGTTTGACTGCTATATGGAGAGAATGCATTGTAGGGTAGCAAGAGTTTAAATAGAAAATCCAGACAGGTGGGTATAGAAATAGTCTAGTTGGGTGTTAGGAGTAGCTAACTGTTACCCAGAGGATGGAAGAAATATAAAAGGAGAAAATAAATAAATCAACTTGCCCTTTTCAAGAAGCATGGGACCTGCTTGCTGCCCAGTCCCATCCCACACACCCATACTGTGCAAGCTCCCAGCCTCTGCTATGGCTTGTGCCAGCCGTGTGTACTAAGGGGTCTGTGACAGACCAGACACCTTGGTCTGGAGACTCTAGTTCATGTCCTGGTGAGTATCAGAGTTATATAAATCCTATAAGTTAACGAGTGAAGGCAGAAAAAGCATTCCAAGCCGTTAAGGGAGTATTGAGTATTTCCAGTATTATTACTCAAAAGTCTTGTTTAGGAAAAAAGGAAAGGCAGAGAGAACTGTATGTTGCTTAATGTAAAATAGTAATGATGGTAATGATAACAGCTAATAATCACTGGATCCTTATTACATCCAAGCATAATGCTTTGTGCTTTATAAAGTCCTTATTTAATGAGATAGTAAAATGTCAAGGATCTGAAACATTGTTTAATCCTGGAAGAGCTACAGTTTCTGACCTATACTGCTCAGGCTCCAAGCCCACAATACTCCATCAATTCTGAGTAAAGCCCCCCTAACCGTTTTTCATTTTGTAGGTAGACAGTTATATAATCTGGGAAAAATTAAAAATTTCCCCCCATCTCAGTGGCCATATTGGTCACACTTCTGGAATAACATTAAATAGTAGTAGTAATAGTAAGCACCTTTTCCTTGGTTCTGTTATTAGAGAGAATTCTTCTAGGGCTTTATTTGTATTCTTGGTGCAATGCTAATATTTTTGTTTTTGAACACGAATGGATGAAGGATACCAGTTGAATACTTCTGAACCATCTATCAGGTTGATCATATGACCTATGACCTATTAATATGATAGTAATAGATTCTTAATAGTGAACCATTCTTTATTTCCTGGATAAATCCTTCTTCGTGCTAGTTATACTCTTGATGTCTAAGTAACCAGCATTGTTTAAAAACATTAAGAGTTCTGGCTCTGATATTACAATGACTTAACAGGGTGGGTCTGCTGGTGACAAATTCTCTTAGTTTTCTTTCATATGAGAATGTCTTTATTTCACCTTCATTCCTGAAAGATTTTTGCTAATATAGAACTCTAGGTTTATGGTTATTTCTTTCAGCACTTTGAAATAATTAATCCACTTCCTTCTGGCATCCATGGTTTCTGATGAGAAATTCAGTTATTCACATTTTTGCCCTGCCACCAAGTAGTGTATCAATTTTCCCTGGTTGCTTTCAAGATTGTTTTTTACTTCCATTTTTAGAATTTAATTATGGCTGGGCATAGTGGTTCACACCTGTAATCTCAGCACTTTGGGAGGTGAAGGCAGGTGGATCACTTGAGGCCAGGAGTTTGAGACTGGCCTGGGCAAAACATGGCGAAACCCTTTCTCTGCAAAAAATACAAAACTACCTGGGTGTGGTAGTGCATGCCTGTAGTCCCAGCTACTTGGGAGGCTGAGGAGGCACGGGAATCGCTTGAACCCAGGAGGTGAAGGTTGCAGTGAGCCAAGGTTGTACCACTGCACTTCAGCCTGGGCGACAGAGTGGACTCTGTCTCAAAAGAAAAAAAAAAAAATTTGATTATGATGCATCTGGGCGTGGATTTCTTTGGGTTTACCCTGTTCCTATAGGTTGAAATCTTCTGTCAAATATAAGCTTTTAACCATGATTTCTTCAAATACTTTTTCAGCACCAAACATTTTCTCCTTCTCTGGGACTCCAGTGAGACATATATGAGATCTTTTGTTGTTGTCCCATACATCCCTGAGGTGCTCTTCATCTTTATTTTTTCTCAATCTTTTCTCTCTGTGTTGTTCAGATTGAATAATTTCTTTTAATCTGTCTTCAAGTTAATTCTTTCCTTTTTTCACCCTTCTGCTGTTGGACCTATTTAGCAAGATTTCTATTTTCTATATCAATAAATAAGTGTTTATATATTAAAAATACTGTAGGGCTAGGTGTGGTGGCTCACACCTGTAATCCCAGCACTTTGAGAGGCCAAGGCTGGTGGGTCACGAGGTTAGGATTTCAAGACCAGCCTGGCCAACATAGTGAAACCCCGTCTTTCCTAAAAATACAAAAATTAGCCGGGCATGGTGGCGTGTACCTGTAGTCCCAGCTACTCAGGAGGCTGAGGCAGGAGAATCGCTTGAACCCGGGAGGTAGAGGTTGCAGTGAGTCGAGATCGCGCCACTGCACTCCAGCTTGGGCAACAGAGTGAGACTTCGTCTCAAAAAAAAAAAAAAAATTGTATATTTTTCACTTCCAGAATTTCCAC